>NW_021159994.1:0-125549 GCF_000001405.40 Homo sapiens
TCTAGGGCAGGGGCAAAATGCCACCAATCTCTCTTCTAAAGCATAGAATGAGTGACCTTTACTCCAGTTCCCAACAAGTTGCTCATCTCCATCTGAGACCACCTCAGTCTGGACTTCATTGTCCATATCACTATCAGCATTTTGGTCAAAGCCATTCAGTAAGTCTGTAGGAAGTTTCAAACTTTCCAACATTTTCCAACTTTCTTCTGAGCCCCCCTAACAGTTCCAACCTCTGCCTGTTACCCAGTTCCAAAGTCACTTCCACATTTTGGGGTATCTTTATGGCAGCACTTGACCCAATTGGTACCACTTTACTTTATTAGTCCATTCTCACACTGCTTTATAAAGACATACCTGAGACTGTCTAATTTGTAAAAGAAAGAAGTTTAATTGACTCACAGTTCAGCATGGCTTGGGAGGGCTCAGGAGGTTTACAAAAATGGCAGAAGGGGAAGGGGAAGCAAGGCACCTTTTCACAAGGCAGCAAGAAGGCAAAGTGCAAGCAGAAGAAATGCCAGATGCTTATAAAACCATCAGATCTCGTGAGACTCACTCATTATCATGAGAACAGCATGTGGGAAACCACCCCCATGATTCAATTACCTTCACCTGGTCCCGCCCTTGACACATAGGGATTATGGGGATTGCAATTCAAGGTGAGATTTGTATGGGGACACAGAACCAAAGCATGTCAAAGAGAGTCTCTGATTACTGGATAACTACCATTTATGTAAATATAAAGAGACATGAACCTTTAAAACAATAATCTCATTAGTAATTAACTCCTGTTGTACTGAAACTCAGTTCTTAAATAATCAGTCGTATCATTGACAGCTAAGTAGAACTCAATGATACTTGGTTAACTACAGTTTCTGTGTTTTTTTAAATAGTCATATATCACCTTTAGCCAGATTTTTCTTTCCCATACTATCTTTCATTGACAAAGGTTAGACAGATTATTTATATTAATAATAAGGGTTGTGAAAAGAATTTAAAATGGCTCCTGATTCATCAGTCTACATACATTATACTTATAAATTTGAAGTATATTTTTACACAAAGTACACTGTATTGTTTCTGATTTCTTGAAATTAATGACATATGGATGACACGTATGACATCATTAGCCAGAAAATACCTTCATTTTGAATTTTATATACCCTTAATATTCTGAATAAATAGGTGTTGAATATGCATACATACAAAATGCATGCTTTGTTCCTATAGGTTTCATGTAAGTGATGAATGATAGAGTGATACCTACTTCTATCTCTCTGCTTTTAAGATAATTGTAAATTTATTTAGAGTTTCAAATATTAAAGTTTCTGAATGAATCAATCTCCGTGGACTGCACTGAGGGAAACCTGTTTACTTTTTTGTAGTTATGATTATAGAAGGCCAACAATATCAGCTACAGAAAATATTTGGTAAATGTCTGAGTTGAGCACTATGAAGTTCTAAGAAGCACATCGCCTTTAGACAGCCTGATTAGTCTATACAGGAAGAGTTCTCTAACTATACAATGCTGAAGAAACCAGTCTTTACAAACTACTGATTGTTCTTTTGTAATACTTATTTACTTTTCAAATCATACAGTTTATTATGAACTGGTAGGAGTCCTAAATATACTCTATTCTAAGTACCTCAGAGTTGAAGAAACAGAGTTAAGAAATGTTCAAGTATTTGATAATGTTCAAATGCCGAGGTTAGCATCTTCATAACTCCCAGTGCAGTGATTAACAAACCATAAAAATAACATTTTGTAATAAGGGCACAAAAGACAGAGTGTGAATTTTCACAGGAAAAGCTTAAAAAAAACTTGGAAATTATAGTAGGAGAAATCTATGAGAAACTTAAAACACACCTGTTTTTATTTTATCCCTTTAAGAGGATTATGAAAGGTAAGTGGTGCTTTCAATTCCAACTGTTATTTCCTCACTCATATTTTTCAAGTTCCTAAGAGTCAACATATCTAATTTACTTTCCTTTGCTCCTTTTATGGTGGTACAGAATGTACTAAATGCCAGTTATACCAATGATAAGTAATTCTAGTTTTTCTAAGATATCTAAGGTGTAAATAATATGCCCATTTTAAAACTGAAACTATGTACTCAGATTAACAAATGGTATAATGTGATTCACCTAGTAAATGATATAATCGGGATATTAACCTTTGTCTGAAATTCTTTCAAGACTTTCTTTCAACGCTGTTACCTGCATTCTAATATATCATCTTTGTTTTCATTTTTATACTTGTGCTCATAAGGCATCATGAGACTATAAGATTTCTACAGTCAATAGATGCATTTGTCTTTACTATTGCACATTAAAGTTTTACAAGTGTGTGGGCAGAACTTTGGATATATCTTGTGAGTCAAACCTGCTCTTTTCACCTTTGTTAATGGCAACTCTATCTTTCCAATTGCTCAGGCAGAAAACTTACGTTTTTCTTTAATTTTCTCTTGGCACTAACCTTAATGTGCATTCAGTGCTCATCCACTTCACAGCTTATTCTTTGTTATAGGTTTTAGTGATACCAGATGCCCTCAACTCTCACCTGAATCATTCCAATAGTCTCCATCTCCTAACTCGTCCTGTTTCCGATCTTGCCTACATTGATTCTATTCCTAAAAGAATTAACAGAGTTATCTTTTTAAATGGCAAATTAATCATATCTTTCCTCACTTCAATTCCTCCATCTCACTTAGAATAAAAAGTGAGAAATCTTAGCATGTCCCACAAAGACCCAGAGAAAGTGGATCCAGCCCTCATACACATGCAAACAGTTACAAACACACTTCTGACCTTCTCTCCCCAATTCCTCTTTAACTCTTTGTCCCAGTCAATACAACCTCCTTGTTATTATTCTGAAATCAACCAGAATGACACTTTTGAATCAGGACCTTTATAATTATTGCTTCTTTGGCCTGGAACTCTTTCCTCTCAGTTGTATGCACCGCTAACTCCTTTATCTCCTTTAAATCTCTGGTAATATTATCAATATGGTTATCTTTAAATACCTTATCAAGACAGAAATCAATTACGTAGTTTGGGTCTTCCAGAAGAAGACTTCATGAGTTACCTACATTGAAGAAACAGCTCTTTAAAAATTCAATGTTTTGCAGAAAGGTGCATTTGTAAAATAAAGTAATAATTGTATGATAATATAAAATTGCTATAAAAGTTTTTAAGCATTTACTCTCACTTTCTGTATTTATCTCAGTATACTATTGCCACAAAGTTATGTAGACCAGCATTGTGTCTCATCTTATATGCCATATGAAAATAGCATAGCTACAGTTAGTCATCAATTTCTTTGACACATAAAATCAAATATAGAAAAAGGAAATAAAACACAGCTATTTTAAATATTTAATTATTTTTGATTTAATAATTTAACAAAAAGTAATTATCGATTATTATCTTACCTTTTAATGTTTGGAGTACCAAAAATTGTAAGAGACAAGGAAGTACTATAAACTCTGCATATGCATACATGTTAGCTAGGGATCATGTTACATTGAAGATTCTATTTTAGTAGACATGTGATGAGGCCAGAGATTCTGCATCCTTTTTTTTAGTTTTATTTTTTTGAGACAGAGTCTCGCTTTGTCACCCAAGCTAGAGTGGAGTGGCACGATCTTGGCTCACTGCAACCTCCGCCTCCCAGGTTCAAGAAATTCTCCTGCCTCAGCCTCCGGAGTAGCTGGGATTACAGGAGTGTGCCACCACGCCTGGCTAATTTTTGTATTTTTAGTAGAAACGGGGTTTCGCCATGTTGTCCAGGATGGTCTCAAACTCCTGACCTCAGGAGATCCACCTGCCTCGGCCTTCCAAAGTGCTGGGATTACAGGCGTGAGCCACTGCGCCCAGCGGAGATTCTGCATTTTTAACGGATTTCTCCGAGATGCTGTTCCTAATTCATACTTGAAGTAGGAATGGCTGGAAAGCAGAGCCTCAAGTAAAGATGAAAGTGCCCACATTTTATTTGCAATTCGTAAGCCTCGAGTGGTTTGAATGAGAAATAGAGAAAAGTGGAGAAAGAAAAAAGAGGGAAAGAAGCGAGGAAATATGATTCTTTACGACATTCACTGCAAGGAGTTAAAATTGTCAAAAATGTTTCACTGATGTGTAGTCACAATGAACTAAATTTTTCATGAAAAGGTGCAAGGATGAAGTTAACCTTGAGAGAGGGAAAGGCTCTTGAAGTTAACCTTGAGAGAGAGAAAGGGATTATCTTCAAAGCTTGTCAATTCTCACTCAGTGAACAGCTGTTTCCTTCATGCTTTTCAGTATCATCAGCTGGCCCCTCAGTGACTTCTTAGAAATCTAGATTCTTCCATCATGGGGGCAGTATTTCAGCCAAGCCCAAAAGTATAAGGGAACCACCTGAAACAGGCAAGGTGCTAAGAAAAAGAAAAGAGAAACAATGTGTAAGAAGGCTCAATATTCACAACAAATACGTTATTTCTCTCTCTTCCAAGCTTATTTTACTTCTTCCTCCATAAAAGGTATCACCACTTGATGGTGAATATATATTTTATCTATGTATAAAATTTTTAAATATAAATATATTTATATTATATATTATATATGTTTATAATAAATATATTTATTTATATTAGGCAATATATATTATAGTACATGTATATATAATATATAAAATACATATGTAATATCTTATATATCATATATGTGTATATATATGCATGCACGTGTGTGGGTATATATGTATAACAGGTTTGTTTTTATTTTCTTCCATTATAATAATGTATTGTACTTGAGAGCAAAGATTGTTTTTGTTATCTATCCCCAGAATAATGTCTAACACATAGTAGCTGCTAAATAACACTATGGTAAATAAATAAATGTGTCAGTAAATTTTAAAAAGTATCTGTATGAAGAGATTGAGTCCAAAATGAAACCGTTAAAATGATTTTTCCCTTCACTCTTGGTTATATAATTTTTCCCCATGGCAATGGATTTTCCTGTGCCAATTCTTCAAATCAGGGAGTTACACAGAAATTCACCTGATGAAAAGTTTTGGATTAGCATTTCATTTGCTATTGCAGATTAATTAACCAAAGCCAAAAATTAGCATGGTTTGTGTTTGGGGCAATTTGCGACAAATCATTTTTTCAGAAAATAATATCTGCCAGGCTAACAGAAATTATAAAGTTCTGATAAAAATGAACAAATATATTTTGCTGAATTTTGATTATATTTCCCCTTGATTTAGAAAGTAATTTAAATCATTTTCAATACTGTCATTATACAGTTCATTATTTTTAATTTAATTTATTGCAAATAGGACTATTTTTATGAATTTTAGGCATAATTTTAAATCATACTCTAGGTCGAGAAACCTTTTCCTACAGGATAGATATAAGATATTTTAAGGTATATTACTTAACAATTTAAAGCACCCTATTTTGACATTATAAAATAGTATTTATTAATGTATCTGACATTGTAGCTTCATGGTAGCACATCTATGAATCTCCTTTTCATTTTGCTCCGCATTTACTAGTAGTTTTATTTGTATAATTTCTGTTTCCCAGTAGAAATAGTGAGAGAAAAATCAAATTAACTTTTTTTTATATTTTTGACTGTTATGCTTAGATGTTCCTTTTATCAAATTCAATATGCGATGCATTTTTTCAGTGTTTACAGTACATGCTAATATCACAGATTGTATTTCTACAGATAATTCTCTAAGAGACAGAATTATAATTTCACTTACTCATGTATTTATCATTTATTTTGTGATTACTATACATGTATTACCATACAAAGCATTTATGGGCAGACTGAAAACATTGTATTCTCTTTATATTTCCTAAACAAGAGATCATTTTGCATTAATAGTTGCCGTGACATAGAGAGATACTATATTGAATACTGCAAAATAACTTAGCTGTTTCAAATATAAAATATTTGTATTGGAAATTTGTCTTGTTTTTTAAGAAACTTCCTTAACAGTTTGACCTGTTGCATCTTTTCTTGTTAGGAGAAGGATAATTTTAAAATAACTGTATATTTTAGTGACTATATCTCAAGGCATAGGTAACCTGTAGACATAAAAATAGGTTGGGGCAATATTTGCTTTTATAATCCTTCATTAATCCACAACAAAGAAATGTCAGAGATTTGTATATTTTCCATTCGTATCTTTTAATAGTTTTTATTTCTCTGCTGAGATTTTTTTATCTCTCTATATTTTTCTACCTCATTGTTAAAATATGTATTTTTAAATATTTGTCTGCTAATATTAACTTTTGGGTCATCATGGGTTTCTTTTTTCCCTTTGATTGGCTTTGAGTTATATTTTTCTAATTCTCATTGTGCTGAGTATTTTTATTGTATTCTGAACATTTTGAATATTATAATACACAGTACATTTTGTTATATTCCTCAGAAGAATGTTAATCATTTTGCTTAAAAGCAGGCAGTTTTTGTAAATAAACTCACATTGAATACTCTCTCTCACTCTTAAATGACATCTCCAACCTCCCGTAAGTTTGTTTAAACTTTAGCTGGTATCCGTCTTGCACATATATGGTTCAGAGATATGAGCAGTGTTTATAGGCAGAAATTAGGTTCCACATCTTTGACTCTCATATTTAAATAATCCCCATCAGGTGTCTGTATAATGATTATTTTCTATCAGAGATTTAGCCATCTTATTTCTGCCAGCTTCCTACTTTTGTTCAATCTTTAGCGGCTCCATGTAATTTCAAAAATGTTCAGAGTTTATGGTACTTCCTTGTCTCTTACAATTTTTGGTACTCCAAACATTTAAAGGTAAGATAATAATCGATAATTACTTTTTGTTAGATTATTAAATCAAAAATTGTTAAATATTTAAAATAGCTGTGTTTTATTTCCTTTTTCTGTATTTGATTTTATATGTCAAAGAAATGATGACTAACTGTAGCTATGCTATTTTCATATGGAATATAAAATTATTCTGTCTCAAGTTACATCTTCTCTTAACTATAGAATTTTATGCGCAATTGACTTCTTGATCATTGTAATGTCTGTATGACATCTCTAATTAAATGTTACATAGGCATCTCAAACTTAATAATTTCTAAAAGGCATTTCTTAATTTTCTAACAAAATGTCTCAGCCCTAATTCCCATCTCAGTGCCATTTACAAATACCTAAAGTAAAAAATCTATGGATTTAACTTTTGAATTTTTTTCTCTCAGTCTCTAAGTCCAAGCTATTATTCAATCTTATAAACCAAACCTTGAAACAATAATATGAATAAAACCCACTTAAAATTGCTAATAGTATTGCCCTATTACAATTGTAACGTCAGTAGTTATGTCTTCCCTCTCACTCCTGATAATCTTAATTCATGTATTCTCTTTTTGCCTGTATAGGAAAGTTAGTTGTTTATCAATTGTATTGATATCCAACAGCCAGCTTTTGTTTTATTGATTTTTTACATCATTTTTCTGTTTTCTATTTCACTGATTTCTGTTCTTTATTTCTGTGTCGGTCTGTTTTTGTGTTTCTATAAAGGAATATCTGAGACTGAGTAATTTGTAAAGAAAAGAAGTTTGTCTTGTGGTTCTGCTGGTTGTACAGGAAGTGTGGTACTCTGCTTAGCTTCTGGTGATCCCCAGGAAGCTTCTAATCATGGTGGAAGGCAAAGGGGGAGTAGTGCCTTACATAGTGACAGCAGGAGCAAGAGAGAGAGAAGAGGGAGGTCCCAGATGTTTTTAAACAACCAGATCTCTCATGCACTAGCTGAGCAAGAATTCACTTATCATCAAGGGGATAGTGCTAAACTATTCAAGAGGGATCTATCCCCATGATTTAATTACCTCCCACTAGGCCCCATCTCCAATACTGGGAATCACATTTCAACATGAAATTTGATGGGGATAAACTTCCAAAACATACCAATTACGAATTTCTTTCTTCACTTTATTTTGCCCTTAATTTGGCCTTCATTATTTATGGTGGAAATTTATATCATTGCTTTATGAACTTTTCTAAGATAGATATTTAGTGCTATAATTTCTCTTTAATTTATTGTGTTTACTTTTACTTAATTTCATAGACTTGTTCATTTTCCTGGTGTTTTTTTCTTTAACAAATGAGTTATTTAGACACATGTCACTTCATTTTAAAATAATTTAAGATGTTTTAGACATCTTTCTGTAAATCATCTCTAACTGCATTTCATTGTTGTCAAAAGACACACACTGTATAACTTCAATACTTATACATTTGTCAAGTCTTATTTTCTGGGCTATACAACTGTATATCTTGGTAAATGTTCCTTATATGCACTTTCCTGTTATTGTGCAGTGGTTACAGTGTTCTATGGGTGTCACTTTATCCAAGTTGGTTTATGGTGTTGTTTAAGTCATCAGAATTCTTACAAAGTTCTGTTTACTTATTCTACTAATTTTTGACAGAAGAGTGTTTACTTCTTTGATTAATTATAAATTAATAATATCTCCTTTCAGTCCTATCATTTTTGCTTCATGTATTATGAACATCTGTTATTAGGTGAATAGAAGTTTAATATTGTTATGTCTTCTCAATGAATTGATCATTATAAAATTACTTTTAAAAATATCTAGTAATATTATCTAATCTAAAGTCTAACTTTGATATTAATATAAGTCATTCTAGACTTCTTTTGATTAGTATTATCATTGTAGATATTTTCCCACTTATTAAATAGCTTTATTATAGTCTACCTTAAGTAATGTTATACTACTTCTTATCGTATAGTGCAAGAATCTAACCCCAGTTTTCTATTTCCACTCTCTTGGAATTTGTGCCACATTTAAAAGTTTAACTTAATTATTCACATTTAAAGTGAGTTTCTTAGATCTTGCTTTTATATCTGATCTAACTTCTGCTTTGGTTAGATGTAATTAGACCATATATATTTTGCTGTGATTATTTTATATTTGAGCTTAAATCTCCCACATTGCTTCTTTTCTTTTATTTGTGACTTCTATTCTTTGTTATTCTCTGTTTTGTTTCTCTGTGCACTCTTGGGTTATTTTTAGGACTCCATTTTATGTCATTTTTGGCTCCTTAATTATGTCTGCTTGTGCTTTATTCTTAGCGATTGCCATAGTTTTTATACTAAATATCTTTATTATAGTCTACCTTAAGTAATGTTATACTACTTCTTATACTCCAATGTAAGAAATTAATCCCATAATTCTTCCATTTTCACTCTTCTGGACTTTGTGCTACTATGGTCATACATGTTAATTACACATATGTTATAAAACCCACAATACTTGCTAATTCTTTAGCTTTTAACAATTATTTTAAAAGAGCTTTGTAAAGGGAAAATACAATATTTTATATTTACACTCATATTTAGCTTTTCTATGAATCTTCATTCATTTACATGAATCCAGATTTTTATCTGAAATCATTTTCTTTCTGCCTGAGATGTCTTTCAAAATTTCTGATAGCTTGACTCAAGATAAATTTGTTCAGCTTTTGAAGATATAGGAAAGTATTAACTTTTCCTTTTTTTCTTCCTCTTTTTCTTTGCTGAGTATGGAATAATAAGGCATTGTATGACTCTTCTGGCTTGTTAAGACTGAATGGGAATATTCTGTCATTCTTTATTTGTCTGTAAATAATCTGTCTTTCTAATTCTGGCTGCTTTTAAGATTTTCTTATTATTTCTTTTGTTAAGCAATGTCATATTAGTGATTTCACGTAATAGCCTTCATTTTTTGTTTTATTTTGTCTGCGTGTAGTTTTTTTCAGTTTCTTGAATGTATATGTTCATAGTTTTCAACAAATTTCATAAAATTTGAAACATTTTGTCCATTACTTTTGTCAAATATTTTTCTGCGCCCCTTTCTCCTATAAGAATTTTAATTACATGTATATTAGCCAACTTAAAATTGTTCACAGCTTACTGATGCTCTATTCTCGTTCTTTTTTTTTCTGTCTTTTTAATCTTTTGTTTCATTTTTCATGGTTTTCCTTTCTGTGTCATCAAGTTCACTTACCTTTTCTTCCATGTTGTTCTGTTGTTGATACCCTCCGGTGCACTTTTTAGCCAAGAAATTATATTTTTTTTCTCCAAAAGTTTGATTGGGTGTTTTATTTTGTTTTTCCAATATTCTCTGTTGTTAACATCTCATGCTTTCCTCCTCATTCTTGAACTGTCAAATATGATTATAATAACTTTGTTAATACCCTTGACTACTAATTATAAGATTTTATCATTTCTCTGTTAGTTTTGATTAAGTTTTTTTAAGTTTTTTTTTTTTTTTTTTTTTTTTTTTGAGACAGGGTCTTGCTCTTTCATCCCAGCTGTAGTGCAGTGGCGGGATCCTGACTCCCTGCAGCCTTTGTTTCCCAGGTTCAAGGGATTCTCCTGCCTCAGCCTCCCAAGTAGCTGGGATCACAGGCATGCACCACCACGTATGGCTATTTTTTGTATTTTTTAGTAGAGATGGTATTTCACCATGTTGGCCAGGCTGGTCTCAAACTGCTGACCTCAAGCAATCTGCCTGCCTCAGCCTCCCAAAGTGTTGGGATTACAGATGTGAGCCACCATCCCCTGCCCAATTAACATTTATCTGCTTATAGGCTACATTTTCTTGCTTATTTGTATGCTTGGGGTACAGATAGTCTATAATGTATCTTTTTGAATGCTGGATATTTTGTAATTTAAAAAACACATTTTATTTCCATTTTGGGACACAGTGAAGTTACTCAAAAATATTATAAATCTTTCAAGGCTTACATTTAATCATCAGATGAGTAGGGCAAGAACAGTCTTTAGGTGTAATCTTTTTTGCCTACTAATGAGGCAATAGAATTCTGAGTACTCTACTTGATGCCCCACATATTACAAGTTTATTCAACCCTTGCTAGTGGAACACAAACTATTCCAAATTCTACGATCTCTTATGATTTTTCCAGACTCTTGTTTCTGGTGTATCCTCTCAACACCCTCTTTCTGCCTTGTGCTATGTAGTCACAGATATTTGCTGATAATTACTCAATTGAAGTCTAGAAGGGAATGCTTTGCCGGTCTCCTGAGCTTCCTGAACTCTGAGCAATAATCTAATTTCCACACAGTTCACAGTTATCTACTCTGTAAACTCCGAATGCCATTGTGGCTTGAAAATCTTCCCTCTGTCTCTCCAGTCCAGGAAGACATCCTGCTCTGTTTGGATGACCTTCCCTAGTAATGTGGCCTGGACACTCTTTCTAGGCATTAAACTAGCAAAGTGGAGGGCTCACCTTGTTTTTTATTCTTTCACAACCACTATCTAGTGCTGCATATTATCCAATGTCTGCAATCTATTTTTTAAATATATTTTGTCAATTTGTTGATATGCTTAAGGCAAGAGATTAAGTCATTACTCATTACTCTGCCATGGCTTAAAAGGAAAGTCTGAAAATGGTGATCAAATTTAAATTTGTAATGAAATGGATGTTGAAAGCTATCTTTCAATAATTTGTTAAACTTCTTCTGTCACTTTATTTTCTATTAATTAAAATTAAGGTATTATACATACTAAAGAAGCTAATTTCTTTACCAGAAGGAGAAGGTCTTCAGCCTCAGGCACCTAACAGGTATGGAAGGATTTTTCACTGCAAGTTGTGTGAATGTGAGTGCTGTTAGTTCAAATATGTATAAAAGAGTCTGCAAACACCCAGGGGCAGGGCAGCTATTCTAGTTTAAGAATACCCTGAATCAAATTATTCTTTAATTTCGATAGAAAATGTGTAGACACAGCAGGAATCTGTTGCATTTATTATGTTAGTTGAGTTGTTAGTGAAGACATTTACCCTAGTCTATTTATAAAAGTAGCCTGCTAGCATATCTCCCAAATTGAAACTGCCTCCCTATTAATTCCATCTCAAGGCAGTCAGCGAAGATTTTGTATTGTGTTCAGGCAACCACTGCATCCTTTTTTCTTTTCATCCTTCTTCTTTCTTTCTTTCTTTCTTTATTATTTTTAGTAAAGTAAATCTTATTGGATTACCTCTCTGATGAAAACCATTCAGGACATTCTTATCTGACTTAGAATAAAATCCAAAATATTAACAGATACTAAAAACCCTGCATTATCTGCCTGCTTATTTTAAGGACCTAGTAGTTTGTCCCTCTTTTTAAATATATCTTCTTTCAAATTAATTGAGTGTTTTTTATGGTATCATTGCATTTCCTTGTTTCAATATTAGCTATACTTTTCTATGTTATAAATTAATATTTCAGCCTTAGGTTTTATAGTATAAACCTTTACACTTATTGCCATCTTCCTTAAAGTAATGTTATGACACTTCTGATATAAGAAACTGATAGCGCTGTATTTCTATGTCATTTCTTCCGGCTTTTATGCTATTTCTAAAGGAAATACTTCAGAAAGAGGGAAAATATTTTTAAATAGAAATCTAGATTAATTCAAGAAAATGAACAGTATTAGATATGATAATGTGAATTCCCAAAATTTGAGAGAGGTATCAGTTAATTTAGAAAGTGTATTTTGCCAAGGTTGAGGATGTGTGCCCATGACACAGCCTCAGGAGGTCCTGATGACATGTGCCCAAGGTGATCAGAGCATAGTTTGGTTCTAATTATTTTAGGGAAACATCAGACCTCAATCAACATATCTAAGATGAACATTAGTTTGGTTTGGAAAGGTGGGACAACTCAAAGTGGAGAGGGGGCTTCCAGGTCGTAGGTAGATACAAGACAAATGGTTGAATTATTTGAAGTTCCTGATTAGCCTTTCCAAAGGAGGCAATCAGATACGAATTTATTTCACTGAACAGAAGGATAACTTTGAATAGAATGGGAGGCCGGTTTGCTCTAAACAGTTCCAAGCTTCACTTTTCCCTTTAGTTTAGTGATTTTGGGGGCCCAATATAATTTTCTTTCACACTTCCCCCCCTTTCCTTTTTAAAATCTTTTGGATAAAGCATTTTAGAAGAAAATGAGTCTCTGTTTCCAGGTTTCATCTGAACTCTCATAACTAGGATGTTTTATTCCTAGACAGGTAGGTATTGAGTTATTAGGAAAGCTCATTTTTAGAAGGTTGTGAAGTCTCATGTTCTGCGAAGATAAAATAGGGGGAGGAAGGGAGAAAAACAACAACAAACAAAATAACAATTCTGGAAAATTGATATAGCCCACATTACTCCAAAGTCCATGCATCAGTAGACAGTATGAAAGTGGTATATGTACGTAAATAGATTGCCATTACTTTCTTCTGAATTTAGGTTTTCTAGCTTAGTTTGCAGGGCTTTACAAAAGTACAGCTTAGTTTCCAGTAACTCCAAATTAGGAAAAATGGGAAAAACAAAGTTGAGAACTTGTAGCCAAGAAAAGTTAGAATTCCATCCAAAGTGTAGAAAATAATAAAATTGAAAAACATTCAGCAAGACTAAGAATCTAACAATAGCCGTACTATAGTTTTTGAAACATAATTTTTCTTTCTCCAGTTACCCATTTTTACTAAAAGCAAATCATGATATGACTGATTTGCTTTATTGTACTTGGCCTAATATCTTGTATACAGTACAGCAAGAATAATTGTTTTTAACGTGGGCTTTTAAATTGGCTTTGATGGAACTTTGTTCCATAGAAGGAATCTCAGATAAGAGTTTTTTGAAACCAAGCCAAGCCATAGAATTGTGCAATCAAATATCTATGAGTTGAGTGATCCTTTCGTCTTTAAGTTCCAAGATGAACTTGGGGCTCCTGGGCCAGTTAGAAAGTGGCATTCTTTACTTACCACAGGTCAGGAACCCTGTACAGTGAAGGTATGAGGCCAGTTTCCCAAGGGGCTTTATTGGCTTTATAAGTCAAGTTTTATTACTTAAAGGAAAGACACCATTCTAGTCAAAGCCTTGGTAAAATAACCAGTTTCTCCAATTGTGTCCTGTTGCAAAATGAAAACAGATTCTTATTGCACTTATGCAAATAACTGTATTGCCATAAGTTAGGAATATTTACAAATAGTTTTCAAATTCTGGAGAAATCAGGTAGAGAGATAAAACATATGCTCCAAATTTTGTTCATAAGAGTATACCAAATTGTATACTAAACCTGATCAATAGCTCAAAAAAAAGTTTCATTGACTCTGAAAAAAAAAAACAAAGAATCAGCAACATTTAAAGCAAAAAAAGCCAAAGAGATTACTTTAGTTTTCTAACCATTCAGTTTATGCACTTAACTTCTGTTCTGCTTGATATTCATGAACATTTCAGCTCTCCTTGAGAGTTCTGAAAGTTTTTTCCTCTATTCTAATGTCACAATTTCCAAAGTTACCAGAAACTTCCATTTTAGAATACCTGTTAGAGGTCTATAGCTGATAATAAAACCATCTTCTAAGGAGGATCAAAACAGGATAACAATTGTTTGTGGGTAACAAAATGTTTCAGGGCAGCCACAGTCAAAGACACAATTGACAAGGAAATTTGTTACCTTTGTGGCACACAATAACTTAACATAGCAATTATAATTATTACTGATAACATATACTAAGTCACATCAGAATTATAGGAGTTTCCCATGATTTTGGATCACATACCAATAACATATTTATATAAATATGGCCTAGAGTAAATCAAGCACCATTTCAAATTTGAAAATGTTTCCTGTATAATTTTTGTACCAAATAAGCCAAACTATGTAATTTTTTGACTTTAGGGAACATAATATCTTAAAGAGTTAATTAGGTTGGAAAAATATATAACATATAATCTTATAATTTGATTTTGGAAAATTTGTCAAATATCAAAGGTTTAAAATTCTTGATATAACAAAATAGGATCATTCATTTGACCAAAGTGATAAGAAGGATTTCAAAAAAGGCAAAAACCTTCATTCTTGGAGACAGGAGACTAAATATTCCATACAATAAGCCCTAATAAAAACAGCATTAAGCCAGTTAAATTTGTGTTTGAAAATGTTATAAACAGTCAATAAAATTTTAATCTTGACCACAAGATACAACTTCCATAAGCCTTTTATAACCTTTATAAACATTATTAAGGAGTCAGTTAATGCTTCAAGAAAATCTTGTTAATTTGACACAGGGGCCAATATGCTCATCGTGCTTCAGTGTCTTTAACATTCATGATTAATTTATACAGTAAATAAACATATTTTATCCTTCAAAATCGGCCCTTACAATTTCATGCACCCACCTCTTCGGTGATAGTCCCTGGGTCTTGAGCTAAAATAGCTTTAATTTCTGGCCTTGTGTCTCAGGAATGTGCTAATTTTGATTGGCATCTTCTATAGGGTCTGAAGATGGGAATTTAATTGCTATTAGTGTTTCAAATTTAGCAGGATTGGTGTCCTTTTGATCCCAGGTGTCAAAGCCCTGTAGATCATTGTTACAGTACTTTAAAAGCACACGCAGAGGGATACATGGATGTAATAACCTTAATTTTTTTAAATATTAATCTCATTTTTTCCTAAGCAAACTAAAACTTAAATAATGATATACAAACTTGATTTTATAGAAATTTTTTTGTTGTTGTTTATAAATCCTCTTATTGCGACTTACACTGACCGTTCATGATATGCTTGGACTTTCTGGTTTGTCCTGAACATCCCACTTTTTAAAACAACTAGTCATTTTACTCTAAGACTAAATTTACCATACAAGAGCCTTTCTTATCTGAAATTATTTCCCTTTAAGCTTTTTTACCAAAAAAAACCCTCTATATTTTTTACAACTTTCTTTCTTTTATTTCCTGGTGCCTTTTACCTCATTTTTATACATGACATTTAAATAAGCTTTTAAATAGATAAAAATAGTTCACTTTTTTTTAAGGACACAATTTTTTAAAGAGTGTTTTCCTACAAATATACTTTTAAGAGAAAATACACAGATAAAGGCATATGTATTATTTAATTTAATATAACTTTAAATTCTAAATTATGATGAGTTTGTCTACAAATATCTATTCTATTATTTTTTCCTAATTATTTTATTTTAGTTGTTTACCTAAATTATTGATAATATCTTTGATTGTCATTATTTAAAGTTATGGAACCATATTGCACACAATTATAACTGAGATAGTGAAAAAGATTTGACCTCCCTGATTCCATCTGGCTTCTAACCTCCAAGCTGTCCTTGTTTATTCCTGGGTGTAGGCTGAACTAACTTTGTGAGGAACTTAGTTTATAGTTTAGCTTTGAAACGGAGATGATAACAGTCCTTTCCCAAAACGAACCATACTGTTTATGGACTAGACCACCTAAAGCCACAAGGTTAAAGTTATGGTAATGTTGCTAAATTCAAGATGTAGCTATTTTTTATTAAACCAATATAAATGTCTTATTTATTAAAGATTACACAGTGAAGATCTTTCTGTCTTGGGCTAGGTGTATAGTTTTGTAATCCATATGCCAAATTTTGACATGTTACAGTATTTGGCAGGGATAAGTATCAAACTGCTTGATGGATAATTGCAAACAAAAATGTATGCCGGCAATTCTTAAGACATTTCTAGTATTACTTTACCAATAATTTAAAGCTAGCTTATTCATTAAAGATTTTACTTGTTATGTAAATTTGAAAAAGCTTTTGACTAGTCTTTTTTTATGATAAAGTGCTTGATGCAAGCACTTTTTTTATTTCTTTTTCTTTAATTACCTGTTAAATCTAGAAGTTATAGGATGTTGCCAATGGTCTATTTCTTTTTATTTTATTTTATTTTACTTTAAGTTCTTGGATACATGTGCAGAACGTGCAGGTTTGTTACATAGGTATACATGTTCCATGGGGGTTTGCTGCACCTATCAACGCATCATCTAGGTTTTAAGCCCCTCATGCATTAGGTATTTGTCCTAATGCTCTCCCTTTCCTTGTCCCCCACCCCACGATAGGCCCTCGTGTGTGATGTTCCCCTCCCTGTGTTCATGTGTTCTTATTGTTCAACTCCCACTTACAAGTGAGAACATGAGGTGTTTGGTTTTCTGTTCCTGTGTTAGTTTGCTGAGAATGATGCTTCCAGCTTCATCTGTGTCCCTGCAAAGGACATGAACTCATCCTTTGTTGTTGTTGTTCTTGTTGTTGCTGTTTTTGAGAGGGAGTCTTGCTCTGCTGCCCAGGCTGGAGTGTAGTGGTACAATCTTGGCTCACTGCAAGCTCTGCCTCCCGGCTTCACATGATTCTCCTGCCTCGGCCTCGGCCTCCCAAGTAGCTGAGACTACAGGCGTCTGCCACCATGTCTGGCTAATTTTGTGTGTGTGTGTGTGTGTGTGAGTGTGTGTGAGTGTGTGTGTATTTTTAGTAGAGATGGGGTTTTACCATGTTAGCCAGCATGGTCTCGATCTCTGGACTTCATGAGCCACCTGCCTCAGCCTTCCAAAGTGCTGGGATTACAGGCATGAGCCACAGCTCCTGGCCAAACTCGTCCTTTTTTATGGCTGCATAGTATTCCATGGTGTATATGTGCCACATTTTCTTTATCCAGCCTATCTTTCATGGGCATTTTGGTTGGTTTCAAGTCTTTGCTGTTGTAAATAGTGCTGCAATAAACATACATGAAGCACTTTTATTTTCTTAGCCCATTAATTAGAGTTCTTTTATATATTTTCAGTAGTGAAAAATTGTGTATCCAATACATACATACATAGACATATTAGGTATGCCAATAGAAGTACATCTTATAGATTTATAAACACCTTTTGTTTTCCTATCTTAGACTTTCAGATTCACAAGTCTAGACAGTTGTCAGCTAAATTACATTAAATTTGCATATTAAAGGAAACAGCTCAGGTGAAAATCAAATAGCAAAATTTACATAATAAGATAGAGAGAGAAAAAGTCTGGTGGTATTAGAGGGAGATTAAAGATGGATGCCAAATCAAACATAAAAGTATAGAAATGTATCATAAGATTGTACAAGGAGACCGATTTTATTTACATAGGGACTATCCATCTTTTAACTGGGTCTCTGAGCCCTGGTCAGAGCCCACACTGAATCCTGGGTTTCCAAAAAGGAATAATTTTTATGAGATTAGACCGCGTGATGCTTTTACAGTGCACTTAACATTTTTTTTAAAACAAAAACATTTCTAAGTGTCTAAACCATATTCTTCTTTAAAAACCTAAGAGTAACCTCTGTTGCAATAACTATTTTAGGCAAAGAAAAAGGAAACAGTTAACACAGTACAAGTAAGCAGTTTAAGAGCTAAGATGAACTTCTCTGTTTACATTCTTGGGGTTCCACAAGGAAAAACAGGTTTCTTCCCCAAAGGGAGTCTGGTACCTTTATTTTCTTTAAGGAACCTCAGGCTATTATAAACTATTTTATGTCCCTGATTCAGCAGAGGGTGCAAGAGAAAGAAGAGACAGCAGAAGCAAATGAAGAAAACATAATTCAGTCAACTGAGAAGAAAAAAACTGTTGCTCAAAAAAAGACAAAGTCCTAGGAGAAAAACAAAAGCAAAAACATGAAGGCCTTTTAAATACAATACACAAACATATGCACACATGCAAACACACATCATGGATATTAGCTTTTAATTAAGCTGATTTTTTACCACTGAGCTTCCTTAAAAAAAATCTTTTAAAATCTCATTACCATGTTTCACCTAGGACAAATTGCTGCTATTTCAAAAGTACAGCCATTGCTCTTTCAGTTTGTCCTGGGTTGCAAAAAGGTGGCCTTGTTATGTAAATAAAGTCTGTTAGTAATCAAAAATCTTTCCTCTTTTTTCCCCTTATATATATATCACAATATTCATATATATTTATGTATTATATATGTAAATATATCATATAGTATATATCAAATATTATATGTAATATATTTTTATATTTTATATGTAATATATACTTATGATATTTATAATATATAATATATGATATGTTACATATGCATTATGTGTAATATGATATTATATATTATAATATATAATATTTATATATTATAATGTATATTATAATATATAATATTTATATATTATAATGTATATTATAATATATAATATTTATATATTATAATGTATATTATAATATATAATATTTATATATTATAATGTATATTATAATATATAATATTTATATATTATAATGTATATTATAATATTTATATATTATTATAATATTTATATATTATAATGTATATTATAATATTTATATATTATTATAATATTTATATATTATTATAATATTTATTTATTATAATATTTATATATTATTATAATATTTATATGTTATAATATATTATAATATTTATATATTATAATATATATTATTATAATATTTATATATTATAATATATATTAGTATAATATTTATATGTTATAATATATATTATAATATTTATATATTATAATATATATTATTGTAATATTTATATATTATAATACATATTAGTATAATATTTATATATTATAATATATGTTTAATTTTAAAATATTCTTAAAGGTAACTTGATTGTTTAATGCAAATATAACATTGTCATTCTAGTCTTACTCCCTTTACTTAGCATACATTTTGTCCTCCATTCAGTTGTATAAACATGCCAAGAATGCTGTCCTTTAGGCTTAGACTGTTTTTTCTGCCTGTAGATACAGTATCCACACCCCATATGCAAGGACTCACTCCAGTGTTGTGGCTCACCTTTTTGTTTCTAATGTCTCATAATGTCTCAGCCAGCTTTCATCTCCCCAAAAGACCTTCCCGACTCATATCATTTAATTACCACCCCTATCCATTATTCTTTACTTCCAGTTTCCTCATTCTTCCCTTTCACAATTTGTAATTCTATATTTATGAAATATTCTCCTCTAATAGTTTTGTAAGTTCCATGAGAGTAGGAAACATGATTATATTGCTTACCATCGTATTTACAGAATCTAAACACTGTCTATGATGCAGTCACTGAATAATTCTGGAATGTATGCAGGATGTACTTAGAATAAATTTTCTTCTAAGTTGTTCTTACAAAAGTCCCAGAAAGTAATGTTTCAACCTATTGTACATAATACAAAGAGTCATATGAAGTTATTTAGATTCTCTTTATTTTGTCTTGTGTTCTGTCTACAAAATAAGCTTTAAAAAATAGGCTAATGAATTTTGGTTATAACATATTTTCAGAAACTGAAGAAAAAAGTTAACATATTATTTTTTTAATCCCTTGAGTTTCTTTGAAGTGACCCTGTCAACATCTCTCAGTTTTTCAGCACTTAAAATTGTTTCTTGGTCTGTTACCAAAGGACCACCACAGGGAATTATACTGGCAGCAGCTTCTTTAAAAATATATATACGGAACATTTTAAAAATAAGGTGTACTTTGGAGCAAGTCAAATTCCTGTTACTTACAATGAAAAGGCCATCTGCAGATATATCATTATTTTTATTTTTAGGGCTGATAATGGGTAAGGTTTGACAATCAACTGAATAGTTAACTTCCACAAGAGGATAACAATGGACTTTGCAACCACTTAGTCTCAAGTTGGTGTAGTTTTTGAGTCACTGGTTGCAGATGCTCATACACATATGACATGAAACCTGTGGCATAGAAAGAGCTGAATAAAACCTTTAGAAGATATATAATGAAAAAGACATTTCTAAATCTATTTTTTATAAAAACTGTGTTTCCTTAGACATTATTTTTACTTATGTAGGTTATAAGTAGACTTTTTACACACACACATATACACATGCCCACACACATTATATAAATGTTAAATTTGTATTTCATAAGGCAATTAGCTTTGGAATGGTAACAGCAGACTGTAGAATATCTCGATGGGGTTTCTCGAGTTCAAATATTAGGCACCTAAGTTAACATATATTTGACAAATACTAGCTGGGCATGGTGGTGGGCATCTGTAGTCTCAGCTACTAGGGAGGCTGTGGTGGGAGGATCACTTGAAACTGGAACTCGGAAGTTTCAGTGAGCTGATATATTGTCACCACTCCAGCCTGGGAAATAGAGCGAGACTCCATCTCAAAAAAAAAAAAAAAAATACTGACTACTTTAAATGTTACCAGATCATGGCAAATGTAAGAACGTTTATTTCGCATACCATGCACGGCAACAATGAAGAGATATTTTATTATTCAGAGTTCTCTAGGGAAACAGAACCAATACAGTATGTATTCATATGTATATATAGAAGGAGATTTATTAAAAGGAATTTGTTCATGCAATTCTGGATAGAAAAAAAGATTTATTAAAAGGAACTGGTTCATGCAATTCTGGATACTGACAAATCAAAATCTTTAGTGTGGGTTGGCAGGCTCAAGATCCAGAAAAGCCAATAATGCAGTTCCAGTCTGAAGCCTGGAGCCCAGGGATCCAGAAAAGCTAATAGTAAAGATGAAGTCCAAAGGCAGTTTTCCGGAGAGAGATACATGTATCTAGAAATATATATATATAAAATATATATATATAAATAAAATATATATATAAATATATATATACATTATATATAAATATATAATATAAATATTATATATTATACATAATATATATATTTATATGACATATATCATATATAATATATATTATATGTAATATAAATATATATTATATATAATATATGTCATATAAATATATATATTTATATGTTTTATATATAAATATGTTTTATATATAAATATATAATATATAAATATATATAAATATATATAATATATGAATATATATAAATGTATATAATATATAATATATAAATAAATATATATTATATCTATAATATATATTTATATATTATAGATATAACATATATTTATATATTATATAAATATAATATATATTTATACATTATATATTATATATTATACATTATATATTTATATATAATTTATAATGTATAAATATATATTATATATAATGTATAAAAATATATTATATATAATATATAAATATATATTATATCTATAATAGATTAATATATATTATATCTATAATAGATAAATATATATTATAGATATAATATGAATATATATTATATATAAATATATATAACATATAAATGTACATTATACATGAATATATATAAAATAAATATATATTATATATATATAATATATAAATATATATAATATAAATATATATTATATATAAATATATATAATATATAAATATATATAATATAAAATATATATTATATATAAATATATATTATTTATGAATATATATTATATATAAATATATATTATTTATAATATATATTATTTATAAATATATATTATACATAAATATATATAATATAAATATATATTATACATAAATATATATAATATAAATATATATTATACATAAATATATATAATATAAATATATATATAAATATATAATATAAATATATAATATATATAAATATATATTATATATATTTATATATTATATATATTACATATAAATATATATTATATATAAATATATATGATATAAATATATATTATATATAAATATATATGATATAACTATATATTATATATAAATATATATGATATAACTATATATTATATATAAATATATATGATATAACTATATATTATATATAAATATATATGATATAACTATATATTATATATAAATATATATGATATAACTATATATTATATATAAGTATATATGATATAAATATACATTATATATAAATATATATGATATAACTATATATTATATATAAATATATATTATATAAATATATATTATATATAAATTTATGTGATATAAATTTATATTATATATAAATATATATGATATAAATATATATTATATATAAATATATATGATATAAATATATATTATATATAAATATATATGATATAAATATATATTATATATAATATATATGATATAAATATATATTTATATATAATATATATATACACCATAAATATATATTATATATAAATATATATACTATAAATATATATTATATATAAATATATATACTATAAATATATATTATATATAAATATATATACTATAAATATATATTATATATAAATATATAGTATATATAAATATATATAATATAAATATATATGATATATAAGTATATATATAATATAAATATATGATATATAAATATATATATAATATAAATGTATAGGATATAAATATATATATAATATAAATAGATAGGATATAAAAATATATATATAATATAAATATATAGGATATATAAATATATATATAATATAAATATATAGGATATATAAATATATATATAATATAAATATATAGGATATATAAATATATATATAATATAAATATATAGGATATATAAATATATATATAATATAAATATAGGATATATAAATATATATATAATATAAATATATGATATATAAATATATATATATAAATATATAATATAAATATATATAGTATGTAATATATATAATATAAATATATATTATATATATAATATATATTATATATATATAATATATATATATTATATATAATATATAATATAAATATATATAATATAAATATATATTATATATAAATATATATAATATAAATATATAATATAAATATATATTATATATATTTATATATAATGTATATAATATATAATATATATAAATATGTATTATATATAAATATATATAATATAAATAAATATATATAATAAGTATAATTATATAATATATAAATATAAAATATATATAATTATATAATATATAAATATATAATAAATATAATTATATATATATAAATATATAATATATATAATTATATATGATATATAAATATATAATACGTATATAATTATATAATATATATAAATGTATAATATATAAATATATATATATAAATACATACACACACACACACTCACACGTATAATTGCTGCAGGTAATGTCAGTCTTTTTGCTCCATTTCTTCAATTGATTTAATGAAGCCTACCCACGTTATGAAGGACAATTTGCTTTGCCTAAAATGTTAATCCCATCCAAAACACCCTAGCAAAAACACCTAGAGTAATGTTTGACCAAATTCCTGGGCACTCCCCGGCCAAATCAGGTTGACAACTTAAAATTAACCATCACAGAGGTCATGGGTTTAGAAATTAAAAAAAAATCAATAAAACAGAGTTGAATGAGCATACATGGAATGTAATATTAGAAAGAATTAATAGTACTCCAGCATAAAGTTTATACCTGAAACAATAGAGTGACGTTGAATAATTCTTAACTGCAAAGGTGTAAGTTGAAAAACATTGTGTTACCCTTATAAAATCCAAACTGGAAGTTGCCACTGATAATTGCAATAATTGCAAAATCTGGACATAGCCTAACTGGGTAGCAAACCCAGACTTCCCACTGTTAGTGAAGTGATTTGGAGCAAGTTGAACAGCTGTTCTGTGCCTCTGTTCCTCATTTGTAAGAAGGGAATAATAGCACTTCATAAGGTCTCTGTAAAAGATTAAACTACTTAAGCTTGAAATAAGCTTAAAACATATTTAGCACATAGTAAACCTTTGATAAATAGTCATAGTTCTATTGTTATTATTATTACATTCTTTAGTAGTACCTATCTCTCCTAATCTCCTGTACTTATCATCTGCACTTATTACCTCAAAGTAGAATTCTTCAGATGGTATTAAAAGTATTTTTACTGTTAAAAACCAAACCAAACCAAACAGAAAACTTTGTGTACTGCAGTGAGGCAGAGTTGTTTCTATCGTGGACTTCACAGATCTGAAATTGCTTCTGAGAGACACTGAGCTTTGACCTATGAATCAAAGTATGAAGTCAGCCTGTTTATTCAGTCTTTTGTCTGAATGACATGAAAGGATCAATCAGCTAGAGAAGTAATTAAAGCTGAGTTTCTTTCTGTATATTTACCTAGAGGCAAAATCAATGAGCATCCCCAGTTAATAATAAAAAGTGATAAATAAATAAATAATCACATACATTTTCAAAAGACACTGTGTCTCAGCCTTGAGGTAGTTGTCAGTCAATTGGTGAAAGTCTGATTCTGGCTCTTGAAATTTTTGAAGCGTATCTTTAATGCCCATTGTATAATGCAGCTTATTTCATTTTCTTTTGAACGAATAAATGACTGCCTTTTTGTCCCAATATTATTAGTGTAAAAAATGTTT
The DNA here is from genome assembly GCF_000001405.40 of Homo sapiens. NCBI lineage: Eukaryota > Metazoa > Chordata > Mammalia > Primates > Hominidae > Homo > Homo sapiens. The sequence goes on from NW_021159994.1 coordinate 25,082, forward strand.
TCAGAAGGGCAAGGAGACCAGAGCTTATCAAACTTATAAAACAAAATATCCCAGAATGTTACCATTAAAAAAGCCTCATTACCATGCCAGCAATGTAAATAAATCTACTTTCTTTCTTTTCTTTTCTTTTCTTTTCTTTTTTTTTTTTTTTTTTCTGAGACAGAGTCTCGCTCTGTTGCCCAGGCTGGAATGCAGTGGCACAATCTCTGGTCACTGCAACCTCTACCTCCTGGGCTCAAGTGATTCTCCTGCTTCTGCCTTCATCTTCCTGAGTAGCTGGGATTCCAGGTGTCCGCCACCACGCCTGGCTAATTTTTGTATTTTTTCAGTAGATACCGGGTTTCACCATGTTGGCCAGGCTGGTCTTGAACTCCTGACCTCAGGTGATCCTCCTGCCTTGGTCTCCCAAAATGGTGGGATTACAGGCGTGAGACACCACACCAGGCCTGGACTCTACTTTCAAAATACCTCTCTTCCCTGGTGTATGGCTGATTTTTAATATGTCAAATTTATACTATAATCAAAATTTGTACTATAATCAAAAGCAAATGTGAGTCATCTGCGCAGGAAAACAAGGTATATTAAGAAACTGTGGAAAAGTTGAAAGTGTGTGGCAAGAGTCATAAAGGATTATTATTCTCTTATCCAGATTCATCCATTGTAAATTGAACCATTAACATAAGTTTTGTGTATTATCCTAATGAAGAGTAACATACTATGGTGTAGAAAAGATTTTTCACATATTACATGTGAAAGTAATATAAAATCAGAAGGATTGCTGATCATGATTCAGAATCCAAGAGAATGCTTTGAGATCTTGATTTCATTAATAATTTAGGCCTGAAATATATTTCCATGGAAATCGTTAAGAAAACTCTATCATTATATCAATGTGAATATCAATTTTGTATAACATCAAATCATGTCCCATTGTTTCTGGTCTAGATCATTAAAGGCTTCTATTGATATTACCTTTAGGCCAGAAGATTCTAAAATAGTTAAGTCATTTAGAATTTAAGGACCTCATTGTGGTAAAATTTAGTGAGTATTAAGAATGTAGCTGAAATAATTAGGCTTGTTCTACTTCAGAAAACTCACTCCCTGGTGGCTTTTGGAAAGAAATGATGTTGGAAACTAATTGGGGTTTAAATAAAGTGTTTAGTGTCTGCAAACTTCTTACAGGCTTCTCAGTCATGGGTATGATTAAAGCTTAAGTCATATATAATTTGCAATTAGAGATTATGATGAAATTTTATTCAATATAGCTTTTTTTTCTGAGAAAGTAAATATTAAGTTCTTTTGAAAATCTCTTAGAGAAAAATAGATATTTTTAAAGGGGTATTACAGAAAAATTGAAGATGACATTTTGAATACCTATTCTTATCTTTATCCATTCAAGAAGATGCATCTGCCAGGTGTTTGGAAGTTTGTTTACACAGTGTCCTAGTGAGGTAGGAAACACAAATTTACAGTTTGGAGTTCAAGCCTGTGGACATTAGCTTTAGCCATGAAAGTTGATGTCATATTAACTTAGAAAAGAAGAGGCAAGAGAATAAATATATTAGGAGGTCCCCACAATATGCAGAGACAGCAAGAAAGAGCCATAAAGGATGCTAATTTGGTCAGAAAAAGTGGTAATAGTAAAACTAGTATAGCACGATGCCAAAGAGAGAAAAGAATTTAAAAAACCCAGTAGGTGAAGAGGCTATATGTGACAAGAGAGAAATTAAATTAACGGTGTTGAATATTGCAGCATTAGACATAAGGTGGCCACAAAGAAAACACTGAATTTCACAAAGAAATAATTGGAACTTCGGCAGACATGTAATATTAAAGAGATTTTGAGTAAATGAGGACTGTCAACTATGAAAATGGAAATATTTTATAAATATTTTCTTCAGGAAGCTTAGTGAAGAAGAGCAAGAAAAAGGATGGAGGGTGTATTCAAGAAGGCAGATTGTTATTCTATTTATAATATGAGACTGATTTCTGAAATATTTGTACACAGAAGGAAGAATTGAAAGAACAGAGAAAATGTTGAGACAGAAAAAAACTAACCGATTAACAATATGAAGCCTAGTAAGAGGGAGAAAGAGAAGCAATTCAGCTTACAGGGCTATATATGGTGAAGCAGACAGCATTCGAGGAGGAAAATAGTATTTATACAGCAACCATTTTTCCAAGAACTTGTCTTGGATACTTAAAAAGTCCAACGTTATTTAAACACATGTTTACTCATTATTCTCTAAGATAGTAAAATATTACTGCTAAATGTTTTCATAATAAATGCTTGGTGTAGAAATAATTGTTTTCAAAAAGGAAGTTTCTCAAACTCAAACATTTTCAAAAATTTCTCACCTCTAAAATTTATTGCCTACTCTTTTTTTCTTAGTCAACAAATATTTATCAAGCACCTGTTATGTGTCAGGCACTGGTCCTGGCACAGTGAATTAAAAGGTGAAGAAGACAGGTTGAATCCCTGCCTTCTCACTGCTGCTAAATCAAATAAATACTATATATGTTAAAAAATTAAAATAACTAATGTTGTGGCTTTCAGAAGTATTAAGCAGTATAAAATATGTAACATGGCTTGAGAAATGTACAAGCTAAGGTAATCTGAATGCATTTTCCCTGGGAAGACATTCAATTGAAAATATGAATATAAAAAATGAAACTATAGTATTTTACAGACAGTATTTCTGGAAGAAAGAATCATTAAGTGTAAATGACCAGAGAATAAACAAAAAATATGCTTAGAATATTTTGAAAAAAGAAAAAAAATGGTTACTGGATTACATACAAGAGGAGAGTGATGTTAGAGGGAGTTGCATTTGGATGTTAGGCTGGCACAAATATTAACATTGAGGAACAGACAGATTGGATATTTGTTTTGAAGTTAGAGAAGATACAGAAGGTATAGAGGAATCATAGATGATGCCGTTTTTTAACCATACAAACGACTGGATAGTGATTATATTTAATAAGTTGGAGATGACATGAATAGACTGCATCTTGAGAGAATTTTTTTGGTAAAAACCAATAGTACTCTTTTAGACATGGTAATCTGAAGGTACCTTCTAGTGATATCTACATACAAAGAGAAGATGTATCCAGACTATTGGTGACTGCTGAAGGAATGAATGCAAGTAAGGAAGACTGAGAAGAGATAGTGAGACAAGAAAAAAAATCAAGCTATATAGTGTTGTAGAAGACAGAGAAAACTGTGTTTTTCTGAAGGCAGGGTGAGGCAGTGGGAATCCCAAGAGTAGAGGTTGCAGTGAGCCCAGATCGCACCACTGCACTCCAGCCTGGGCAACAAAGTAAGACTCTGTCTCAACAACGACAATAGAATGAATAGAGATTTAATTATCAGTGATTAGAAGGAAACATATTGTAGATAGAGAAAGCATCCCTAGTACCTCATAAACCCATTTATTCATCTATTAATTCATTCCTGCAACATATATTTGCTGACCTAATATGTGCATAGCACTTTTAAAGTATTGTAAACTAGAGTGTGGAAAAATGATTGCAAAAGCAGCATTACTGGCTGGTGTTACATGAAAGTCAATGCATAAATGACAGTTATCTAAATGATTATTTCAAACTTAAAAATCACATTTTAGAAAAGTTGATGCAATAAAGTATATCGCATAATTTACCCTAACACAGAGCATGATATACATATGTTAAAATAAGTATTCTATTATATTCAATATGTCCAATATATGTGCATATATTAACATATATCTAATGTATTCAGTTTTCTGAAAAAGTATTTATATCTTACCTATCTTATGCTTCTATATTTAAAAAACATAACATAATCTGTAGCATGATTCAGAACTGTGATTTTAAAATGCCATTACTTACATAGTAATCATTTTCTATAAATGCATGTCATTTTATGAGGATATAGATATTCATTCTACTTACCGCATCCTCCCCACAACATTTGAATTAATTTCAGCAGCAGTTTAGAAACAAGTTTACTCAATTATTTTCATTTCATCCAGTGCTTAAGGACTCCAATTTTTTAAATAGATTGTTTAATACTCCACAAACAAGACTCATACTGCATTGCAGATTTATTTAAATTTTCTTTCACTTTACTTAACAAGATGTTTTAACAATTATTCTTTTTAATCATATATGTGATTACTGGTGTTTTGTCTTATGCTTAGGCATATACATTGCATGGTCTAATTTTTCTTCATTGATGAAAGGATTATAAGTTACAATGATAAAACCTGGTTTAATTTTTAACTAGTTGGGATCATTTAACTCCTTGCTTTTAGTAAAAATATCAGTATTTATATTTAACTATTGCAAATTGATTTTGTATATGTATCTTTTTCATGAAAAATGATTCATTTCAAAAAATAAATTATGTGGCTAACTGTTTTCGCACACCTTCGATTTTCTCACTTACAGCAACTGCACTTCCAACTGTTAAATTCTGTCCACTATTTATGGATTCAAATTGTTCAAAATTGTTGCATTTCTATTTTATCTAATCCCTTAATTCTAGCAACTAGACATGAGCCATTATTGAGCTACAGTCCCCAAATTTGCACTATGTTTGAAATAACATTCTCTATCCTGTTGCCATATGCCTAAACACTTGACCTGACACTCTGATTATGACCTAGTTCCTTCAGCAGGGGATCTTTCTTCTGGTCATCAAATCTGTTACATCCTCTGGTTCTGCACCTGCCCCCTACCTGGGACGTGATGTACTGTTGATCTTTGTTATTTCACAACGTCTGTGAACTGTTTTTATTTTCTCTTTGCACTATACATAAAATAGGGGTAATAGCAGTACCTCCTTTGTTGTGAAGAATATTACCAAATTACTGATAAATATACTTATGTCTTACAAGTGCTTGTTCAATGAAAGCAATTATTATCATAAATAATGTGTATCTATATTTTATCCCACATAAACTATCCATAATATTATTAACATAACTTTAGACTTGTAGAAAAGAAGCAGGCATAGAGGTATTTGGGATCTAATTAAATGCATTTAAACTACTTTTATAAAAAAATAGCACATTTAAATTTAATGTTAACATTTATGGCTAGAGAAAAAAATTTAAATGATGAGGAACTCCAACAGACTTCGAAATTATTAGTTGAAGAGTTGGTAAGTGTAGGAATATGAATGCAGATGGCATTCTAAGTAAGGTTTAAGGATATCTCTTAAACCAGGAGACAGAAATTACAATGGTGAAAGTTTATCTACAAGAAGAAATGGACCTCCAGCATCTCTACAATGCCTTAAAAAAACTTCAACGTGAATACTTTTGTAGCTTATCAAGAATCATTGTAGAAATATGTAACCTAATTTCTTGAGCCCTTGTTTCCAGGTTTGATGTATATAAACCCATAGCATGGTTTTCACTTTTGTCTTGTCATGAATAATTAACATGACATAGGAAGCTCAATTAGTCTGGAATAAGATTCTCATCTTGCCTGAGATGGTAAGTTTTCTTAGAGATTAGTTATCTTCTAATTACTTACAAATTTAAATATAAATGCAAAAATTAAGGAGGAAATCAAATCCATACTTTATTACTCTTAAATTTAGAACAGTGTGCATATGTCTGTTAATGAAACTGGTTTTAATGTTTAAAAACTGTGCCATATTGGATGATTGACTAGATTAGCATGTGAACCTAATTTAATATTATTTCAATTTTTTGAAAGTTTTAAAACTTGTTTGTGGCCTAAGATATGGTCTATAATTAAGAATTATACATATGCTGGGAAAATAATGTGTCTTCTGCAGCTGATGGATGAAGTGTTCTGTAAATATCTATTAGCTCCATTTGATCTGTAGTGCAGATTTAGTCCAATGTTTCTTTGTTGATTTTCTGCCTCGAAGAGCTGTCCAGTGCTGAAAGTGGAGTATTGAGGACTCCAGCTACTATTGTGTTGGAGTCTATCTCTGTCTTTCGCTCTAATAACATTTGCTTTGTATATCTGGGTGCTTCGGGGCTGGGTGCATATATATAGACATATATTTAAAATTGTTAAGCCCTCTTGCTGAATTGACCACTTTATCATTGTATAGTGACCTTCTTTGTCTCTTCTTACAGTTTTTTGTCTTGAAATTTATTTTTCTTTATATAATATAGCTACATCTGCTTTATTTTAGTTTCCATTGGCATGGAATATCTTTTTCCATCCCTTTATTTTCAGTCTATGAAATGTGTTTCTTGTAGGTAACAGATCTTTTGGTCTTGTTTTTTTTTTCCTTAATCCATTCAGCCACCCTGTCTTTTGATTGGGAAGTTTAGTCCATTTACATTCAATGTTTGTATTAGTCCATTTTCATGCTGCTCATAAGACATACCCAAGACTGCGTAATTTATAAAGAACAAGAATTTAATGGACTCTCAGCTACACATGGCTAGGGAGGCCTCATAATTATGGCAGAAGGTGAGAGGCACATCTTACATGTGGCAGACAAGAGAGAATGAGAACCAAGTGAAAGGGGTTTCCCCTTATGAAACCATCAGCTCTCATGAGACTTATCCACTGCCATGAGAACAGATGGGAGAAACTGCCCCCATGATTCCATTATCTCCCAGTGGGTCCTTCCCACAACATGTGGGAATTATGGGAGCTACAATTCAAGTTGAGATTCTGGGGGACACAGCCAAACCATGTCAATGTTATTATTGATAAGCAAAGCCTTAAACTGGTCATTTTGCTATTTGTTTTCTGATTGTGTTGTGGTCTTTTCCTCCTTTTTCTTTCTTCCAATCTTCCTTTTACTGCAGTTGATTATCTCTGGTAGTATGTTCTAATGTCTGGCTTTTTATTTTTTGTATATCTGTTGTATTATTTTGATTTGAGGTTACCATGAGGCTTGTGAATTCTATCTCATAACCCACTATTTTAAGCTGATAACAGCTTAACACTGGATGCATAAACAAACAAGCAAGCAAATAGAAAACCAATAAAAATTCTACAACTTAACTTTGTCCCTCCACTTTTTAACCTTTTGCTATTTCTATTTATATCTTCTTGTACTTTGTCTTGAAAAGTTATTGTAGTTATTATTTTTTATTGGTTCATCATTTAGTTTTTTTACTTAAGGTAAGACGTAGTTTATACAACACAGTCACAATGTTATACTACTCTGTGTTTTTCTGTGTACTTAATATTACCAGTAAATTTTCTACCTTCAGGTGATTTCTTATTGCTCATTAACACCCTTTTATTTCTGAGTGAACTTTCTGAGTCAAGAACTCCCTTTAGCATTTCTTGTAGGGCAGAAACTGTTTTGATTAAATCCCTCAAGTTTTGTTTGTCTGAGGAAGTCTATTTCTCCTTCATGCTTGAAGAATATTTTCACCAGATATATTATTCTATGGTGCCACTTTTTTTTTCTTCAACACTTTAGATATATCATGCCACTCTCCCCGGCTTATAAGGTTTCCACTGAAAAGTCTGCTGCCAGACATATTGAATCTCCATTGTCAATATGTTAAGTGTTTCTTTTTTCTTATCACTTTTAGGATCTTGTCTTTACTCTTGGCCTTTGGGAGTTGGATTATTAAATGCCTTGAAGTAGTCTTCTTTGGGTTAAATCTGATTGGTGTTCTATAATCTTCTTTTACTTGGATGTTGATATCTTTCTCTAGGTTTGGGAAACTCTGTGTTATTATCCCTTTGAATAAACTTTCTATCCATATCTGTTTTCTACTTCCTCTTTAAAACCAGTAAGTCTTATATTTGACCTTTTTATTTTCTAGATCTAGGCATGCTTCATTCTTTTTCATTCTTTTTTTTTTGTCTCCTCTGACTGTGTATTGTTAAGTAACCTATCTTCAAGCTCACTAATTCTTTCTTCTGCTTAATCATTTCTGCTATTAAAAGACAATGCATTCTTCAATATGCCAATTGCATTTTTCAACTCTTGAATTTATGCTTGTTTCTTTGAAATTATTTCAATCACTTTGTTAAATTTGTCTGACAGAATCCTGAATTCCTTCTCTGTAATATTTTGAATTTCTTTGAGTTTCCTTAAAACAGCTATTTTGAATTCTCTGTCTGAAAGGTGACATATCTTTGTTTCTCCAGGATTGGTTTCCGGTGCCTTATTATTTTATGAGGTTATGTTTTCCTGGATTGTCTCGATGCTTAAGGATATTTCTCTGTGTCTGGGCATTGAAGAGTTTTTGTAGTCTGTGCTTCTTTGTACCCGTCTTTCTCAGGAAGGTTTTCTAGGTATTTAAAAGGACTTAGGTGTTGTGATCTAAGCCATATATGCATTAGAGGACACCCCAAGCCCAGTAACATTTTGGTTCTTGTAGACTGGTAGAGGTACGGCCTTGATATCCTTGGATAGGATCCAGAACAATTCTCTTAATTACCAGGCAGAGACTCTTGTTCTCTTTCCTAACTTTCTCTGAAACAAATGGAGTTTTTCTCTCTGTTCTGAGCTGCGTGAAGCCAGAGGTGGAATGATGCAGCACCCCTGTGGCCACCATCACTTGAACTACACTGGGTCAGATCTGAAGCCAGCACAGCACTAGATCTCACTCAAGGCCTGCTGTAACCACTACCTGGATAATGCCTATCTGCACTCAAGCCTCTGGGGCTCTACAATCAGCAGGTAGACAAGCCAGTCAGGCCGTTGTTCTTTCCTTCAGCACAGCAAGTGTCCGCAAGCCCCAATTAGGTCCAGACGTGCCATCCAGGAGCCAAAAATTGGAGTAAAAAACCTGAGAAGCCTACTGGTGTTCTATTGTAGGATGGCTGAGCTGGCACTCAAACCATGAGATGCAGTTCTTTGTACTCTTCCCTCCCCTTTCCACAGTCAGAGGAGCTTCTCCCCATGGCCACCACAGCTACATGCCCATGGGGAGTACTTCCAGGCTCCCACCAGGGTTCACTTAAAGGCCCAAGGGCTCTTCAGTCAGATCGTGGTGAATGCTGCCTAACCTGGGACTCACCCATCAGGGCAGTGGACTCCCTTCTGGTCCAGGGCAGGTTCAGAAATGCCATCCAAGAGCCAATGCCTGGAAATGGGGGCCCCAAAAGCCCATTTTGGGCTCTACCCCCTGTGGCTGAGCTGATACCTAAGGTATAAGACAAAGTCCCCTTTCTTTTTCTCTCCATTTTTCTCAAGTTAAAGGAGTCTCTATCTGTCACCACCACACCTGGGAACGTGCTAAGTCTCACCTGAAGCCAGCAAGTGTCAGAGTCTCTCCTATATTAATCCATTTTCACACTGCTATAAAGATACTACCTGAGACTGAGTAATTTATAAACAAAAGAGGTTTAATTGACTCACAGTTCAGTTCTGCATGAATGGGGAAGACTCAGAAAACTTATAATCGTGGCAAAAGGGAAGCAAACAACTTTTTCACAAGACAGCAAAAGAGAGCATGCATGAGGAAGTGCCACATTTTAAAACCATCAGTAGTTGTGAGAACTCACTCACCAACATGATAACAGCATGAGGGGAACCGCCCCCATGATCCAATCACCTCACACCAGGTCCGTTCATCAACACATGGGGATTGCAATTTGAGATGAAATTTGGGTGGTGACACAGGGCCAAACAATATCATCAACCAAGGCCATGGCATACTATCTGGGTATCACTGCTGGTTATTTAGGGCCCAAGAGCTCTTCAGTTAGCAGGTGATGGATCTTGCCAGGACTGGGTCCTTCTCTTCAAGCCAGTAGGTTTCCTTCTTGCTCAGGGTGTGTCTAGAAAAGTCATCTGAGAGCTAGGGCCTGGAAACGGGCCTTCTGACTGATGCCCTATTCTACTATGGCTGAGCTGGTATTGAAGATACAAGACAAAGTCTTCTCACTCTTCCTTCTCTTCTCCTTAAGTGGAAGGAAGTTGTCGTTTTTGAAGCCAGGAACTGTGCAGCCTAGGATTTGGGGAGGGGTGGCACAAACACTCCCTTAGCCACCCTGGCTGGTGTCAGTAGGTTGCATGCCCCCAAGTTCACTGGCTCTGAGCTTAATTCATCCTTTGGACTCAGCTAGCAGTTGCAGTTCTTGTATCCTAGATTGCCTTTCAAGTTAATTGTGAGCCCCAGAGCCCTTTAGCCTGTGCTGGTGGAACTTACCAGAAATCATGTCTCAAATCCTGGGATGAATGATTCCCCTCTAGGTAGGGCTGGTTTAAATACTCCTTCCACAGGAGCTGAGTTCAGCCCAGTTTTGCTTTCTACTATGGTGGGGAAGCACTGAGATTAATGCAGTGCCTCACAATTGCTGCACTCACTCTCTCCCAAGAGTTCAAATTCTCTCTCTGTGCCATGTGGCCATTGCTGGGGGATTGGAGAGGGGTGGCCTTGGTGATTCAAGAATCTTTTTTACCATCTTCAACGGTTCTTTCAGTGATATGTAGTTAAAACCATGTACTGTGAGTGCTCATATGATTTTTGATTTGTTGAGCTGTTTTTTGTGCGTGTTTGTAGAGAGTTGTTAAATTGGTGTCTTTGAAGTACGGGGCAATCAATGAAGCCTTCTATTTGGCCATTACACTGCTCCTCCTTTCCTATGAACCTAATTCAAAATGTCACTGAGTTCACATTACTGGTAATGATGAAGTAGCTTTATAAGAAATTATTTTGCCTGTGGCGGTTATACATTTTAGATAAGAAAAGTAAAAAAAAGAATTTATTGAAGAAAAAAAGCAGTAAAAGAACTATACAAGATTTGATTCTTGAAAAATAATTGAGCTCTGTAAGACTTGAACTTAAATGGCTTCTTAATGGAGTAGGCACTTCCTAGTCCGTCTTGTGTAGGGTGGCTACAACTGAAGCAGAGCGACATATACAATCTTATTAGATTACAGTCAACGAATGGAATATGAGACTAATAGAGTATCTAAAGTGAATGGGAAAATCCGAAAAGTAGAAGCTTAAAGAAAGGTGAACCCTTAAAACTGCATAAAAACTCCATCCCTAAAGTGTGCATGCTTTGAGGCTTTGAGGAGACTCCAATATTCCTAGCCAGAAGGAATAGCTGAAAGCCTGAATGAATGGGGCTGTCACATGTGTTAACCTCTGCAGCGGTAATTGAATTCAGAGTTTGAGTACACTTAAATTACTTCCTGTTAGAACAATAAAAAATTAAGAGTCTTCAGAAAAAAAACAGTGAAACCCAGAAACTTTAAAATAAATCACCTGGAATGTATAGTATGCAATAAAATACTACCAGACAAAAAACATCAACCATTATTAAAAAAAAAAAGTCAAGGGAAATGGACTCCATGATGACCAAGATGACAGAATTAGCAGACAATCGCTTTTAAGTAGCATTTGTAAATTTGTTCATGTTAAAAGAAAACTATGGTCATTGTAAAAGAAGTGATACAGAATCTCAACAATGAAATAAATACTATATTTAAAACAATGGAAATTCTAGAACTAATATGAGGAATGAATATAATAAAAATTGAAATAAAAAATTGAGCATCAATGTGCTCTGAAAAGATATCAAATGCTACAATAAAGGTGGTGTTTAAGTATTTACTAAAAAGTTGGACAGAAGTTGCCACATATTTTGAGAAACGCGTATATCTCCAAATGAATCCCAAGCAAGATATTTGTAAAGTAAATCAAACCTAAGTAATTACTAATCACTCTGCTAAAAGCCAAATATAAAAAGATTTTAAAGTATTCAGAAAAAAGAGATGAGGGAACAATGATATAAATTATCTGGCTGATTATTGGAATCAGTGAGAACCAAAAGACAAAGAACAACACCTTCAATGGACTAAAAGAAAAAAACAATAAAACTGTCATCCCAGAATTGTATATTCAGAAAAATACTCTTCAGATGTGAAGACCAATATTACAATTTTGGATAAATATACACCGATAGAATCAATCACTAGCAGATCTATGCCCTACACTGTGAGAAATGATAAGAACTTTCTTTTTTCAAGATAAATGGAAATGACACAAGGTTATGTAATTTGAATTTATGAATTTATAGGAAATAATAAATATGTTATCATGTATATATTTTTACTCAATTATAATTAATCACAGTTAATATTAGTACAATATTAACTCTAATAAGAATAGGATTGGAAAAACATACATATTATAATCTTAAAGTAATGACTAAATACTAATGCATAAAATATAGCTAATTAATAAATAAAAATAAAATACTAAGCATATTTGATTGACAAAAACAGATCAAGGAAATAAAGGAAGAGTAGAGTAAAACAAAACAGATGATGACATGGCAAAATGGTAGACATAATACTAACCATAGCAAATAGTATGCTAAATGTAAATGAAATCAAAGCAAATAGTACTTTAAAATGTAAATGAAGTAAAAACTCCAATGTAAAAAAAGGCATTGTCAATAAAAATTAAGACATAATTAGATGCTACTTACAAGAGATTAATTCTAAACATAATGACATAGTAGTATAAAAGTAAAATAAGGTAAACATTAAAGGATTAATCATAAAACCAGCCAAGATGGCTAAAATAATAACCATATAAATACATTTCAAGGCAGAGAGCATATATACAGATAGATACATTTAATAGCAATAAACATGTATAGTTCAGGAGGGAGTTACTAATAATATACATGTACTTAATAATAGAGGTTAAAATATATAAAGCCAAAACTGATAGAACTGATAGAACTTGAAAATGTCAAGATGAAAAAACAGAAGAAAGACTTCATAATTTTAGAATAAAATATGTTAAATATATAAAATAAAGAAATGTGATATGTGATCCTGAGCTGGAATTTGTAATAAAATATAAAGGAAGACATTATTAAAATGATTAATGGGTTTTTAATATGGACAATGAATTAGATAATATTATTGTATCAATGTTAAATTTTCTGACTTTAATCTTTCTAATATGGTTATGTCAGAGAATGTCCTTCTTGGGAAATGCAAATTGAAATGTTTAGGTGCAAAGGACCATGATATCTCCAATGTAGTCTCAAATAGTTCAGAAAAAATAATTATATAGAGCAAGAGAGAGAGAGAATATAAACACATAGTGAGAAAACATGTAGATAGCTGGTTAATCTGGATAAAGGGTGTTCAGGAGTCTCCTGTAGCATGCTGATAATTTTTCTGCATTTTAGAAATTATATTAAAATAAGACAAAAGTACTCAAAAAGTTGTGTTCTCTTGGAATATTTTGAATATAAAATTTGATAATTTGACAGACTGAAAACAATAGTTTTAGAGAACTTAATTTATGTTTTTAATGATTTTATTTAGTTAAATTTATAAGAATCATTTAGGTATTTTGCATAATTTTTCTCATTATTTTAAGCTTGTTTGTTCAGGCATTTTGGTGCTTGAAAAGATAACTGAGCATTTTTAATATATGTAAAATTTCATACATTTTTCGTGTGGCTAATGATTAAAATATTTATTTGACTTGTTCTAACTATAATCGGAGCCTCCCCAGAAAGTAATATTTCTTTGGAAATTAAAATTTAATAGACTTATGAATAAAATAACAAGATATAGGGGTATCACTTAAGAACATAACTAACTTTTCTAGTTAGTTAACAGATCCTGACTTTTTAAAACAAAATCTGACTTCTACCAATTAAAAAAAAAGAAAGATAAAAGACGAAAGCCCACATTAATTCATTTTAGTACTTGGACCATATTCTTTGCATTGTAATTCACCTACCAGGGTGTTATCACTCCAGTGATTTGCAAAGTATTCACTATTTACTTATCTAATTCAGCCCTTTATTGCCAGTAAGACTGTCTCTGATAGGACTAGCAAAATTCCTGTTGTTTCAAAATTAAAATTGAGTGTTTATAACATAATTTCTTGAAGGAGTATAGAATCATTTAGAGTAGATAATTCAATGTATATTACTAAGAATTGCAAAAGTATGTGCCAATAGTGGAAACCACTTTCTTTTTGGAAAAGCTGAGGTTACTTGGCAGCTCACATTCCTCTGGGGAGGTTAATCTTGCCTGTGTCTGAAACATGTTACCATAATTTTTGACACATTTTTTTACTTGATCGTATTTGACAGCACTTAACAATTAAAGACACCATATTTTGACCTTGAATTCTTAGGGCATTTCTATAGTGACACTTGTGTTGGTTTTTGTTGAAAGGAAGGATTTGTCTTGATTGCTGATTTGCCTTTTGTATCATTTGATGTTTTAGAGTCTTGACATATCTGTAAATTCAAGCTAAGAAATGTGCTGATGTGGAGAAATACACAAGCATCGGGCTTCCTTTTCAACTTTGATTCCACATCTGAGGCAAAGTGAAAAGGAGACTGTTGTTTAATAGGATAAACCCATAGCCCCGAGAAGTGCTTATTATAAAACCAAAGTAGAAAAGTTGTTAATTTTCTATTGGTTCAGTATAACAAGTCCTTCCCAAGATAGTTTCATTGATGAAATTTTTAAAAAGTATCTGAAAAATAATAGTTAGAAAAGGACAACTTCATACCCAATTGATGAACTTTAATTTTTAAATAAACTTTTTTAAATAAACTTTAATTTTAGAATAGTTTTTTTTATTTACAGAAAAATTGATAAGTTCATGCAGAGTTCCCAGATACCCTTCACTTAGTCTTCCCCATTGTTAACATGTTACATTATTATGGTACACTTGTTATAGTTAATGAAAACATATTGACACATAATTGTTAACTAAGGTACCTAGTTTATTCTAATTAATTTAGTTTGTATCTTTTTTTTATTTTAGAATCCTATCTTGGATACCACATTACTTTTAGTAGTGATGTTTCCTTGGGATCCTCTTGGCTGTGACGATTACTCAGACTATATTAGTCTGATTTCATACTACTATAAAGAACTGCCTGAGACTGGGTAATTTATAAAGGAAAGAGGTTTGATTGACTCTTAGTTCATCATGGCTCCAGAGGTCTCAGGAAACTTACAATCATGACAGAATGTGATGGGAAACCAAGGCACCTTCTTCACCAGGCAACAGGAAGGAGAAGTACCCAGTGAGGGAGGAAGAGCCCCTTATAAAACCATCAGATCTCATGAGAACTCACTCACTATCACAAGAACAGCAAAGGGGAAACCACTCTTGTGACTCAATTACCTCCACTTGGTTTCTCCCTTGGATTATGGGGATTATAATTCAAGATGAGATTTGGGTGGGGACACAAAGCCTAACCATGTCAAAAAGCTTCCTTATTTTTGACATTTCTTGTTTCCTTGTTTTGGACCAGGACTTCTCAAAAACTGTAAGAAAGACAGTGATGACTTCTAAGCTCTTCAAATATCAGAACTGAAATGGGAAGTCTAGATGATATTTTCAATTTTTCACTAGTTAATGCCTTCAATGACACTTCTCTGTATATGCTTGAAAAAAACAAATTATGATTAGCCACATTGTCTTAGCAGTAATTTTTTAATTGAATAGTTAATGAGCAAAGCTGAAAATTTCCCAAGGGCCTTCAAAACATGTAACAGCAGGTGAATTTGTTTTTAATTTTTTAAAAAATTTGTTTTTAACATAAGGTTAAGTCAACTGTGATGCTTACCATATGCTTGTGTAGGAACATGTTCATGCATCTGTTAGTTCATTCAGTGATTAGGAATATGTTGTGAGAAATGTGGATTTGCAACTTCTGTGATTGCCAGCATCTACCACAACCTTAGTTCTAAAGAGATGGTCATGAACCAGGAACAATGAAAAGTCACTTTAGGAAATAAATAAATAAATAAATAAATAAATGATAAAAATTCTCTCCTGAAGCAGAGAATAAAATCCTACTAAAATAAGGTTTCTTTTCAACTGAACTAAATCTGAGAATAAAAAGCTTTATAAAAATTGAAGTATATTTCCTGGGTAAAAAGACCTAAAAATTTAATAAACACAAGTTGAAGAAATAGATTAAAAATATGTTAAATTAATATAATCCCTGGTAAACCAAAATAATAGAGAAGCCAAACTTTTAGGTGCCAACAATCCTTTCTATGTGGAACATGATTAATTACATTTCTAGAACAATGGGAACCAATGCATATCAAAATAATGTTAATATTTATTAATATAATAATTTGTCACCAAATATTTGTTTAGCACCTACCACATACTAAATACCATTAGAGAATAAATGAAGAATGATACAGATCTTTCTCTGAAGGTATTGATGCTCCCAATGCCATAGAACAGATACATCTGAGGTTGATCTAATACAGCACTGAGTCTGACAACTATATTAAAAGTCGAGGAAATGAAAGACCAGAGAGTGAGATGATTTGACTAAATTCATATAAATTGAATCTCAGGATCTCCAAATGCTAGTCCTTTGCTATAGTTAGAAGAACAAAAAGAACATGCATTAAAAGAAAAGATAACAAAAAATTGTGATACAAAGGATAGCGTTTAGTTCCATCAGAAAGTGCTAATAAAATATTTGTGAATAAAAATATTTTATGGATAATAAATCAAATGCCACATCTATATTATTTTGAACTTACCACTTCAGTATTCAAAGTGATATAATAGAGTTTTATTGTTATTGGGGATAATAAAGTTCAAGGATCTCACCAGGACTTGAAAATATATTCAGATTATCTGTTTGTTTAAAGTAATGAGTCAGCTTGGTTTACCATATAAGCTTCCCTCTTGAAAAAAATCCTGACTTTTATCTCAATAGCTTTCTCCCCACACATAGCTTATGTCAAAATATTTCACATGTAATCATAAAATCTTGGCTAAGCATCTCATACCTGTCTTCAGTGTTTCTGTTCCAAATAAGCACCAGTAACACTTATCAAATATTGAGTAAACAATATGCTAGAAAAATCTCAACACCTTTGGTAATCATCTGTTTCAAATAATATGGTCCCAAAATAGCAGTTAGTAGAATGTGTGTAATTTTACAACTAGTGTTTTTGGCAATACTACTAAAAATAACATTTGGTGATGAAGTCATTTCTGGCAGTATGTGTGTGTGTTTTTTAATTATCAAAGACAATACATTTGTTACCTTCGCACTGGTATTTGAAGAAATTCTCATAAAGTATAAATGGAGATGAAAAATATGCTAGACTATTTGTAGTAGGCAGATTTTTATATAGCTCCTAATAGTTCTCTTCCTGGTATTAATAGTCTTGTTATTGTGGACTGGACCTAGTGACCTGCTTCTAATAAAGAGTATATGGCAAATGTGACATGATGTCACCTCCAGAATTAGGTTACAAACGACTGTGGCATCCACTTGCTACCTTGCTCTGTCTGGTGGTACTCTCTTCCTCTCTCGCTTGCGTACTCTGATGAAGCAAGGTGTCATGTTGCAAATTGACCTATAGAAAAGCTCATGTGTCAAAGAACTAAAAAAAGCCTCCTATGTGTAGTTTGTGAGGAACTGAGGTCTGATTCAGAAATATGAGAGGAGCTGAATCATGCCAAACATTAGCTGAGTAAGCTTGGAAGTGGAACCAATCAGAACTTGTGATGACTGCAGCTAAGCTATGAGTCAGAAATTCTTGACTCACAGAAACTGTGAGGTAATAAATGCATGTTGTTTTATGACTACAACATTTGGAGTAATTTATTTCACAAAAATGAATACATAATTCATTGTTCTAATGAAAAATGCATGTCATTGACAATGTTCATCATGATGTACCATGATAAAACTTTTTCTCCCAATTGTTACTACCACAGAGTAAATTGTATTGCCCCGTGTCACCATTTTAAGACTCAGGAAAGATACAAAGGCAGAAAAAAAACTGAGTTTACCAATACCTTTCTTCCAAGGGGTATTTTTATTTAAAAGAATAAGCTGCATAAATGTCTTCTTTTGAGAAGTGTCTGTTCATGTCCTTCGCCCACTTTTTGATGGGGTTGTTTGTTTTTTCATGGAATACTATGCAGCCATAAAAAATGATGAGTTCATGTCCTTTGTAGGGACATGGATGAAATTGGAAATTATCATTCTCAGTAAACTATCGCAAGAACAAAAAACCAAACACCGCATATTCTCACTCATAGGTGGGAATTGAACAATGAGAACACATGGACACAGGAAGGGGAACATCACACTCTGGGGACTGTTGTGGGGTGGGGGGAGGTGGGAGTGATAGCATTGGGAGATATACCTAATGCTAGATGACGAGTTAGTGGGTGCAGCGCACCAGCATGGCACATGTATACATATGTAACTAACCTGCACAATGTGCACATGTACCCTAAAACTTAAAGTATAATAATAAAAAAAATAAAAAATAAATTTAATACAAAAAAAAAAAAGAACAAGCTGATGGGGAATACAATTGAAGTTCAACAAATGTCATTGAAATCAAATCAAATTGGAACCCACTCATACTTCCTTCCAAGAACTAGCCTCCCAGCCCTGATTGTGAGGCATAAACGTACCCTGAATTTTTACTAGAGGGTAAAATGATTCTTGGAAGATGGCACAAAGGTTCTCTTAACTAGCACAATGGCCATCTGCAAGTTATTGCAAGGTTTGGAATTCTCATCTCAGTGGAAAATTAATTATAAGAATATCTCAGCTTTTAAGGGATTTTAAATGATCTAAAAACGCTCTCGGTACTTTAATGTATAATTCTTTTATATTAAAAGCAGAAAAGATATGAGAAATAAACTTTATGAAGCATACAGCACATCAATAACTATGTATTTGAAGTTCTTATGCTTCCTTTTTTTAATGTATGCTCTGAATAAGATTAATTTTCTCATAAAAAGCATTTGCGATCTAGCTGAAAACACTTAATAGATATTTGTGTTATTTCTTTAGAATGAATGCTGACTGCTTTTCTTTCTTGCTTGTTTAGCATAACTCTTTTTTGTTAAAAATTTATTTGAAAGTCATTTTCATAACTGTAACACAAATATTTTAAAGCATAAGAAAATGTTTTGTTTTCTAATATAAATAGTGAAACTGTTTTAATCAGTGGTAGTATTCCATTCAAAAATTTCGAATAAGCTCTAGAGCCCAAAGGATCATTGTGAGGTATTTACAGTTAATAAAGATTTGGTAAAAATGTGTTTATTTTAGATGTCGCAAAACTGCAGCATTATATGAAGCATTACAGAGTTCACGAAGAGTAGATCAAACTGTCATTCAAAAAGTAGATCAAAATGTTCAAAAACATTATCAACTATGAAATTTCACCTTGGGCCATCTGGACCTCAGTTTTCCCATTCATTAAAATGGGGAAACATGGTACCTGATGTGTTCCAGGAAATCTTAATAAAATGCTTTACATCAATATCTTATATAAGATGATCACAAAACTTCTAATAACTTAAGACAATTTTAAATTTTGTATTAATCTCAAACACCTAGTTCTTTAAAATTTTAAACATAGGCTGGGTTCAGTGTTATCCCAGCACTTTGGGAGGCCAAGGTGGGTGGATCATGAGGTCAGAAGTTCCAGACCAGCCTGACCAACACAGTGAAGCCCCGTCTCTACTAAAAATACAAAAATTAGCAGGGCGTGGTGGTGCACACCTGTAATCCCAGCTACTCGGGAGGCTGAGGCAGGATAATTGCTTGAACCTGGGAGGCAGAGGTTGCAATGAGCCAAGATGGCACCACTGCACTCCAGCCTGGGCAACAGAGGGAGACTCAGTCTCAAAATAAGTAAATAAATAAATAAATAATAAAATAAAGTAAATTAAACATAATGTTTATATAAAAAGTTGAGTGAATTCAACAAATCAGAAAAAATTACAATACATTTATAATACATTTTTCATTCATTGTTTTATTTAGTGGTTTCAGAAGCCTTGTATTCTCTTTACAAGAAGAGACTATTATGAGGTTCAGATAGTTTATGTAATTTGATCAGTTACCTAGGATAGTAAAGAAAAATTATGACTATAACCCACATCAGCAACTAAATTTCCAGTATTTTTCTTATTTTACAATCACTTCCAAATTATCAGAAGCACTCAAAGAATGAAATGTTTGATATTCATTGCATTTCAAATGTCTTCATATTGACCTTTTGAAGTATGTTCACACTTAAACCTCGATTCTAAAATTTGTAACATTATGTCATTTCATTGCCCAAACTTATATCACAGAAAGAAAAAATTTGGAAAAAAATACTTACAGATCTAAATATATATATGTGTGTGTATATATATATATATATATACACATATATATACACATATATACACACATATATATACACATATATATACACATATATACACATATATATACACATATATACACATATATATACACACACATATATATATATTTATATATATATATTTTTTTTTTCAGACGGAGTTTTGCTCTGTCACCCAGGCTAGAGTGCAGTGGCACAATCTCGGCTCACTGAAACCCTGCAACCTCTGCCTCCCAGGTTCAAGCAATTCTCCTACCTCAGCTTCCCAAGTAGCTGGGACTACAGGTGGATACAACCAAGCCCTGCTAATTTTTGTGTTTTTAGTAGAGACGAGGTTTCACCATGTTGGCCAGGCTGGTTGACAACTCCTGACCTCAGGTGATCCACCTGCCTCGGCCTCCCAAAATGCTGGGATTACAGGCATGTGCCACAGTATCTGGCCCTAAATATTTTTTTAAAAATAATTGTAATATCTGTTTTCCTTTCTCTGGTAGTATAACATTTAATGATCTAGTGGAAAAAGGAGCAGTATATCACAACAGGGAATAATTGGATAATTGCACATATATATATGCATAGACACACAGACACAAACTCACACATGCACATACAGCATGTTTGTTCTGACTATATTAGATATATTTCACCCACCACTTTTCATTTTTTTAAAGTGAATAAAACGTTTGCCTATAAAAATAGAGCTAGGAAATTTAAAGCTAATACAGAATGTTGCAGCTATGTCGATTTTACACTTGCCATAGTTGAAAATTGATTGACTCTGAAAATAAAGTAGTAAAAACTGCCATTGTGTGAAATTTCAAGTTATACAGATACGTAGATACTGTTAAAACTATATATTATAATATGATATATTAGTTAGCTGTGATGCTGTCTCTATGAGAACATTTTAAATTTATTAGGAATCCTAGATTTTTGTATTATCAATCATAAATGACAGAAAATATTTATTATTTAAGTAATTTTAATAGCTATATTGGGAAAAATAAAATCTGTCATTAGTTTGTCAGAAGTACATTATTGGGCTCTGTACATTTCATAATTGCTTTAGTAATCATATTGTCTTATAAAAAAATAACAATATCAATAAATGTCGGTACTGAGTAGAACACAAGAAATTATCACATATCTGTTTTACAATTTCTTTTCAAAGAGAAAAATTACACTAAATTATAACCTGTATGAAATATCCCATTCCAGTTTGAGGAAAGCTTTTAAAAGCATTCATAAATACTCCTAAAAGAAAGATTTTCTTAGCAGCAACTCAGATCTATTGCTATCATATTACTATATATATGTATACTCTGAATTTAAAATATGAGTGTGAATATCTACTGATTTAAACATTGTAAATGAACTGTGCTATTAAATAATGCCTACAAATTTAGCTTTCTACCTTTAGTTGCATTCTTTCTTTTGTAGCAGATTTATTTACTTGAAAATAACCATTTATCTTATTCCATATGTATGGGCTCACAATTGTAGTAGACATCTGTTACCTTTTGCTAACCACAGTGCTGGACATAAGTTTTATTTTGTCTGCTCGGCACACATTCACCTATTTACTCTATTGGGAATATTCCCAATTTCTTTTCCAGAACTACCATACCTCTAGTCCACCTGGTTCAAGGATAGGCAGGTGGCCCATTTCTGAACAAGAAGATGTAATTTAAAAATATTTTCTAAAATTTGGGGAAAGAGAAATGTTTCTATGTTTCCACTTGAAGTTACTGATCTAATAGGACAAAGTTTTGGATATAGAAAGATCATCTTGCCAACTTGATATAGAGGAAGCTTCTCTGCCTTGTCTAGATTTAAACCATTATAGGAAAAAATAGGAGTAATATTTGACAAAACACAGAATCCTGAGGAGAAATCTGAGACTCTGGAACTTATCATTCCTGAAGCTATAATTCGCACTTTTACTTGCAAAGGACCTATCAATTTGCAGTTTGAGTTTAGTTTTTATCACCACAAAGGATGCTAAATAGTTCAGAAATATTACTTACAAAACATCTTTTAAAAGGAAACAGTTTATAAAAAGAAAAAAATCCAAGCTCTCTTCAATATGAATTCTTTAGACAGAAACTGGATCAAACAAGTCATTATGTATTATAAGCTTTCTAATTCTATGCTATGATAGATACAAGTGAACTCGGTTTTTCAATTTGTAGATCACAGTGTGGTTATATTTTTAACCACAATACCTTTGAAAATCTAATTGGCTTCAATTAAGATAAGTTAATATAAATCATTTCCACCATTTAGATGAAAACAGAAAAACTGACAAGTTTCTTCAATCATAACGTATAAAAACCATCCATAAAACACATCAGGCCCAGCTGTTTCTAGTCATCTGATTTGCGTTTTGTTTCACTTTTTCATAGGAATATTAATGCGGTGATGAAAAAAACCCAGGTCATGCAATCAGAAGGCTTAAAGGCAAATCTTACAAACACTGTTAATTTGAACAACTCTCTCTTCACACTTAGAAATCTGTTTCTTTCTGTATTCTGACAATATTTAACATCTAGAGTGGTGGCTATGACTGATGAGACCATGCTTGGGAGAATATTTTGGGAATTCTTAAATGCTATACAAATACTGCAGATGTGTATGTGTGTGTGTGTGTGTATATATATGTACATATAAATGTATTCTATGTGCTATGTTTATGTTAATGTACACAGTTAGAGTCCACACAACCTGAGAAACTTTTGTGTAATAAAATACTGTGTGAGGTACTCCCATTTCTTGGAATCAAGACCCCTGTCTACAACAAGACATACTAACTTTAGGTCAAGTATCTGCTACTGTCCAGCTATGTGCCCTTAGGCAAGTCTATTTGACTTATCGGTGACTTAGTTTCCTTATTTATAAATAATAATTATTATTAATTTGGCTAATACACACAAAGAGCTTACAACAGTAAGACCTACAGCCAGCACATGATAGGCATTCTACTACTATTAGCTTTTAGTTTGAACAGTCATTAGGTAATTCTATTTTGTGGCTTACTCAACCTGTGACTCAGGTTAAGTTCTCTCAGATAAGGTCCTGTTAGGTTTTTCCATTCTCGGTAACCTGAACAGCATTTGTATACTTCTTCTATTTCCCAGAATGCTGAAAAATGTCAGGCAGGACACTGAGGAAGAGAGCCCAGAGAAAACAAGTTGTCACATTCTAGCCTCTGGAAACAATCAGGATTCCTGGAGAGGTGACAATTTCCCCTTTGGGTGTTAGCAATGGGCAACACATGTTATGTTTGCTTGTTTGTCAGTGAATCTTCTCTGGTGGATGATGAGATCATCAAGGCCATGGGTCATTTTAAATTTATAGGAACAAGTCCAGAGAATTTTCAGCTACAGAAGAGAAATCAGAAGATAAAAGATGGGAGGCATGCAGGCATAAGAAGGAAAGGGACGCAGAAGGGGAAGTAGTAATTGCACACAGTTGCATTAGTCTGCAAAGAAATGGACTTAGAGTGCAAAAAACAGACATGTTGCTGACGATGATAACTCTCCACAGGGATTAGGCAAAGAGTACATAAAATGACAATGATAATTCAAAGTTGTAGTAACTGTGAAATCAATAGTGTCAGTGGAAACAGTTGGTGTCAAGTAAAAAGGATCAACTGTTTTCTAATCTCTGGGGTCACTGGTGGTCTTGCTAACACTCAGATATTTTTGAAGCCATTGGAGTTTCCTCCCAGTGCTCTAGAAACCAACAGAGATATTTGAGATAGTAAAAGATGAATGGAAATTGATTTATCTGAGGGATACTTCCTCTGTGATGTCAGCAAAAGAAAAGAATATTCTAGGACACATTTATATTAAGCTATTTGAGATGTCTCTCTGTCTATTTATGTGTGTACATCCCTGCCCCCAGGTCCCAAGAGAGAGCACCTAAAAACGCTTCTAGAGTTGCTAGGAGAATCTTTTATTCTATTTAATGTTTCACTCTGGTTCCTAACACAGAGATCCTAAGGCTTCTTCAATTTCCTGAGTGACAAGCACATCCTTTGTTTTGATGAGACAATTTCTAATGGGCTTTTGGACAGCCCAGTGAGCAGGTAGGGAATCAAGGTTGAATTGACCGCCAAAGATTCAAATAACCATGCCTATGTAATGCAGCCTCCATGAAACCCCAATAGACCAGGGTGCAGAGGGCTTCTGAATTGCTGACTAAGTGGAGGTTCCTGGAGGGTCATACACTCAGAGAACATAGAATCTCCATGCCTCTGCCTTCCCATAGCTTACCCTATGTATCTTTCCTATCTGACTATTCATCTATATCTTCTGTAATATCTTTTATCATAAATGGGTAATCATTAGCAAAGTGTTTCCTTGAGTTCCTTAAGCTGCTCTAGCAAATTAATTCAACCCAAAGGGGAGCTCTTGAAAGACCTGATTTCTAGGCAGTAGGTCAGAAGTAAAGGTGACAACCTGATACCTGCGACTGGCATCTGAAGTGGGGAGTGGTTTTGTGGGAATAAGCCCTTAACCTGTGGGGTTTGATGCTATCTCCAGGTAGACAGTGTTAGAATTAAGTTAAATTATAAAACACCCAGTTGGTGTCCACCAGAGAACTGGTTGATAGTGGTGAGAGACACCCACACATTTTGGTGACGGAAGGTGAAGTGCTTTGTGTTGTATTGAGCATAAAATTAGGAAAAGTAGTTTTAGTTTTCCAGTTGCTTGTGTTTCCCTACCCACGTGTATGGCTAAAAACTCACACACAGGCTGGGCAAGGTGGCTTATGTCTGTAATCCCAGCACTTTGAGAGGCCGAGGCGGGCAGATCACGAGGTCAGGAGATCGAGACCATCCTGGAGAACACGGTGAAACCCTGTCTCTACTAAAAATACAAAAAAAAAAAAAAAAAAAATCAGCCAGGCGTGGTGGTGGGCACCTGCAGTCCCAGCTACTCGGGAGGCTGAGGCAGGAGAATGGCGTGAACCCAGGGGGCGGAGCTTGCAGTGAGCCGAAATCGCGCCACTGCACTCCAGCCTGGGAGACAGCGAGACTCCGTCTCAAAAAAAAACAAAACAAACAAACAAACAAAAAAAACCTCATGCACATTTTGGTGAGCACAGGCAAAATGCTCTGTGTTCACTGTGTGAGAATAGGAAAAACACATTTTGCTTTTTCCTATCTCTTATAATATGTATTTCCCTATATCTATCTTCTATCTAAAATTCTTCTAAATATAGGTCAATATATGGTTAATATTTCACCCTATGCACCAACGGATATATAGACTACAAAGAAGTTTTATGAATGCTGCCGAAAAGCCCATCAGACATAGAACAACCCGTAATTTTGATTACTCAACTTCAGCTACTCTTTTGCTCATACTTGTGCTTTATAACAATAATGATAGTAGCAACAACAAAATTATGCCAAACATAACTATATCTTACATAAATGAAAATTTCCAAAAGATTTAGAGGATACATTGAAAACAACTTTAAAGTATTTAATCGGATGAAATGGAAGGAACAAGTTAACATATACACGAAGATGTGAACAATTGTAGGAGAAACCAGTTTAAGGTGAAAGACTAGGAGTTCAATTTTGGACATGAGTTAACACATTACCCACTTATTAATGTAGTAGGAGACAGATCTTGTACAAATTCTCCCTCCCTCCCTCCCTCCCTTCCTTCCTTCTTTCCTTCCTTTTTTTTTTTTTTTCCCCAGATAGAGTCTTGCTTTGTCACCCAGGCTGGAGTACAGTGGCACAATCTCGGCTCACTGCAACCACCTCCTGGGTTCAAGCAATTCTCCTGCTTCAGCCTCCAAGTAGATGACATTACAGGCATATGCCACCACACTTGGCTAATTTTGTATACTTTTAGTAGAGACAGGGTTTCACCATGTTAGTCAAGATGGTCTCGAACTCCTGACCTTGTGATCTGCCTGCCTCAGCCTCCCAAAGTGCTGGGATTACAGGCGGGAGCCACTGTGCCTGGCCCACAAGGAAAATATATATTCTAAGTGAACAAAATAGTCTGATAAGTTTTGGATAAGACATAGTTCTTTCAAAAGAGTGTCTTGATGTGTTAGTTTCTTAATTGTAAATTAATCCTAGAACTATGGTTATAATTAACAATGAAAAGATTAACAGAAGAAAAGAAGGGAGAGATGGTGGGAAGAGGAGGACAAAAGAGAAAGGGGGAGAGAAAGAAAGAAAAAAGTAAGAAAGAAGAAAGAAAGGAAAGAAAGAAAGAGAGAGAGGGAAAGAAGAAAGAGAGGGAAAGAAGAAAGAGAGGGAGGGAAAAAACAAAGAAAAAAGAAAGAAAGGAAGAAGGAAGGAAGAAAGGAAGGAAGGAGAGAGAGAGAGAAAGAAAGAAAAAAGAAAAAGAGAGAAAGAAAAAGAAGGAAGGAAGGAAGGGAGGAAGGGACGAAGGGAGGAAGGGAGGGGAAAGCAAGCAGGCCGACCAGGCGAAGTGGCTCAATCCCAGCACTTTGGGAGGCCGAGGCAGGTGGATAACGAGGTCAAGAGTTTGAGACAAACATGGCTAACATGGTAAAACCCCGTCTCTACTAAGAATACAAAAATTAGCGGGGCCTGGTGGTGCTTGCCTGTAATCCCAGCTACTCAGGAGGCTGAGGCAGGAGAATGGCTTGAACCTGAGAGGCGGAGGTTGCAATGAGCCAAGATCATGCCACTGCACTCCAGGTTGGGTGAAAGAGTGAGACTCTGTCTCAAAAAAAAAAAAAAAAAAAATATATATATATATATATATATATTCCCTGTGAAAAATGTATCAAACCTTGAAAATGTTTAGTAGCATAGAGAATGTGTTTTACAGATGAGTTTTTGTCACATATAATTTCAAATTGAAACAGGGTCTCACTCCGTGGCTTAGGCTGGAGTGCAGTGGTGTAATCACAGCTCACTACAGCCTTGACCACCCTGGCTCAAGCAATCCTTCCACCTCAGCCTCCCAAGTAGCTAGGACTACAGGAACACTCCATCACATCCAACTAGTTTTTAAATTTTTTGTAAAGAAGGAGTCCCCCTGTGTTGCGCAGGCTGATCTCAAACTCCTCAGCTCAGGCGATCATCCTGCCTCAGCCTCTCAAAGTGCTGGGATTATAAGCATGAGCCACTGCTCCAGCCTATCTGCACTTTTAGATAAAAGATACATGCATTAGGTATTTTTGATTAACTGCTTTCTCTAAACATAAAAATTGGGTCTCAACATATTCTACTTTGTTTTGTTTTTTCTGGCTTTTCTTACTCTGTTCTTTCTGTATAAAACCTTATTATAAACCATATTTGCCTGGGAATCTACAACTTCACCTCTAGGAATGTCATCATTTTGGAACCATTTCCTGATCAACTCATTCCTCTGGATGTAGGCTAAGTTAGGTATCTTTTCTTTGTGCTCCTAAACAACATTTCTGCAACTTTGCAGTAGCATTTTCACATAACATTGTCATTATTAACTTGGGATACCTGCCTCGTTAGATGCTAACCTCTTTGGGTACAAGGAACATAAGCTCATTTCTATCTTCAGCACCTCTTTCAGTTAAGTTTAACATTTTTTTTTTATCAAAGCCTACTAGCCTCCAGGTACAATACAAATGGAAACAAATTCTGTCCCCTAAAAGATTTTACAATCCAGTGGAAAACATTCAGTACAGTGCAAAAATTATAATAATAAAGATAGGCCATACCTATTGAGGTAATTGTTGAAGGAATAATAGAAAAATTAAGAATTTCTGATCAGGTTAATAGAATCAATGACAAAGTAAAAGCTTTTATAACTGTGCCTGGAGCAGTGACCTAAATTTCCCACTTGTTTTTTGTACTTTGACTCAAAGATAATAAAAAATTGTCATGGGCTTTTTTTAGTTTTTAAGGATGCCTAGTTTATTCAATAAGCATGCAGTTCTAAAACTCAAAACCGGCCAGGTGCCATGGCTCTCGCCTGTAATCCCAGTTCTTTGGGAGACTGAGGCGAGTGGATCACCTGAGTTTAGGAGTTCGAGACCAGCCTAATCAACATGGTCAAACACTGTTTCTACTAAAAATAAAAAAAAGTAGCAGGGCATGGTGGCAGGCACCTGTAATCAAAGCTACTTGGGAGACTGAGGTATGAGAATCACTTGAACCCTGGAGGCTGAGGTTGCAGTGAGCTGAGATGGCGCTACTGCACTCCAGCCTGAGCAACAAGAGCGAAACTCCTTCTCAAAACAAAAACAACAAAAAATAATCTAAAAACCAATCTATTTGCTTGTCCTGTGAAAGAATACCCAAATATTCCTTTTAAATTTTCATAAATATAATCTTCATGCAAAGTATAATACTTTTTATGAAAAGCAAGTGATCCCACTATTTTTCTTTAAAGCATAAATTCATATATATATTCCCGATACCTTATAGAGTCTTCAAATTAATGCCAAACAATGCCTTACACATGAAATATAGCCATTCTTTCTTACGATCAGCTCATCACATATATATTCTATAATACATATAACAATTTATTTATTTATGGAAACATGGTCTCACTCTGTGGCTCAGGCTGGAATGCGAGGATGCAATCTCGGCTCACCACAGCCTTGACCTTCCTGGCTCAAGCAATCCTTCCACCTCAGCCTCCCAAGTAGCTGGGACTACAGGCACACACCATCACATCCAACTAGATTTTTAATTTTTTGTAGAGGAGTCTCCCTATGTTGCCAAGGCTGATCATATAACAAATATGTTTTATATATTTGTTATTTAAATGCATATACAGTGTTATTTATATTAAAATTATTTATATTATCTTATTTCTACAGGATTATTTTCTCACAGAAAACATTTTCCATTAGCAGCAAATGATAACATGCTAGCCCCATTCTATTGTGCACGACTTCCGTTGTATTCTTGCTCAAAATTTTTAAATAACAATAGTCAGTAGAGAGTTAAAGAGTTGAAATTATTCATTCTGTGGCACATAAATATATAGATTTAATTATACCAAATATATTGGCAATTTCTTATATACAAAACGGTCATATATTTAAAAATATAGTATCTAGTCCTTTTTAAAACAATTTGATTTCATTTTTAGAAAAGGAAGTGACTGTCATATTGGTTGAAGTTAGAAACATATTTAGCAGCCACACACTCGAGTAGCACAAAATGGAAAAATAAATTAAAATTTTAAAATAACTACCATTTAGTTTGCTCATATTATACCCCAAGGATTTCAGCAACATGGGAGCTAGTATCATATAATGACTTCTGTCTCCATCCCAGGCTTGATTTCCCTCCATGTTAATTGAGTGCCTTCTATGTTCCAAGTACTGTTCTAAGTGCTTGGAATATATCATGGAACAGAAGATACAAAAACTGCCACCCTGGTGGAACTTCCAGTTGGGAGAAATATGCCATGAATAGCAAACATAATGAGGAAACTGTATAGCGTACCTAAAGACGATAATGTAAAGTCAAGTAGAAGACGAAAGCTAACCTGAGAGTGTTGGGAGGAGAGTAGGTTGCAGAATTAAATGGAGTAACAAGGTTTCAGCATGGGCTTATTGGAAAGCAGAAGCTTGAGCAAAGATTTGAAGGGCTAAAATGAGTTATTTAGAGGAAGAGAATTGCAGGCTTAGAAAATGTCTTATGTGTTCACAGGTAAACCAGAAGGCCAGAATGGCTGCAGGAAAGGGAATGGGGGCAGCAAGGAGGAGATTAGAATACACAGGTCATGGGGAGCCATCTCACAGAGGGCTGTGAAGCCAGTGTGGGCACTTTGGATTTTATTCTGAGTAAAATAAAGAATAATTGGAGGGTTTTTGCCAGATAAATGATGCCATCTGGCGTATTTTACAGAAATACATTATATAAGTGATATCTCCTTTATTCCTGATAAAATTGATGTTGGAGACTATGGCTCATATATAAAGATTTACCTAACATGGCTCTGGTCAAACTGGAGGACAGAGGCCTTTCCACAGGAGGTTTGTCCCTCATACCTGTGCCATGGAGACTGGATTCCTATACTATAAAGAAAAACAAACCAAAAAGAGTGTGGAAATAAGGGTGTTTTTTTTTTTTATTTACGAACTCTCTAATTAGATTAAAGAAGTGAGTGAGGGGTATAGAGCAGTCATTCAGGAGTATTTTATGAAGAGCTTCCAAGTGGAATAGAACCTCAGGAGTGGGGAAGGAATGATTTCTTCCAACAGGTCCATTCTTGCCTGCTCATCTGCAATGCAGATTCTGCCCCTGTAGAGAAGATGTGAAATTATCTAGTTTATAGGATGAATTTGTCATTTTTATTCAGGTGAGGGCTACAAGGCCATTTGGCCCTCCTCCTGAGTCTTATCTTTGAATCCAGTTTTAATCAATATAGTAGTTTAATCTACATTAATCTGATTTCTCATCTATCAGTTGCTTGTAAATTGGGAAAGGTGTTATCCATTAATCACTTAAATACAATCAGAATTAAAACATGAATGACAAAAGTAGTGGGCAGGGGAGGAGGGTCGCCAGAAAGTGTTATGTGGCAGAGAAAAGAGAGAAGTGCTTTTCCTCTGATAAGAAAACTCTCCAGACAAGAGCATTATCGCCAACTCCATCATTAATTAGAAGCATTTGAGTTCTACAGATACAGTATTTGCATTGAGTTTCTCCTTCAAGGCAGAGGCATCTGAATCCCCAACATCAGCAGTGACTTACGGGTTAATGGGAAGCAGCACTTGCACCCAAGTGCCCAGATACATGAAGACATACCTTGAAAGTACAGCAGACATGAAGTAAAAGTAGAGAGGAAAGTCAATACAGGGATCCCTACCATATATTCAAAAGTATAATGGAACTGGGGTGGTACAAGCCATGAAATAGCTATCATTTATATTTGGGATATCTAATAAAATTATTGGCTCTTGACACTTGAAAGATCACCACAGACTAATTATAAAGGTGTCATTTGAGGTGAGCCTGGAAGTTTGTCAGTTGAAGCATTTGTTGGAGCAAGTATGTTTTAGATAAAGAAAATAGCAAGCTGACATCACAAAGGTGTAAACATGCTAAACTATTTCAAAGTAAAATTTCAAAAATATGTCTTACAGTTTGAGTTTATGACAACTAAAAGGAATATATGTAGGACAGTAAATTCAAACCGCATATTAGAATTAAAATGTTCCCAGTAAAGCTTTACATGTATTCTTAATGTTTTTTTTTAAACCTGCAATGGAATTTCAGAAATTAACTGAATTTCTGTTTGGGGACCTTATTACTGGAATAATTCCTTGCAAAATCAATGCAAAAGGAGCATCTATGTTTAATTGAAGCAAGAAAGGATGGGAACTGGAGTAATGCTAGGAAAGTTATTTCAGTTGCATGATTCTCAAAGTTCAGTGGATAGGGTGATAATGTGGGAACCTGTTAAAACACAGATCCTAAGATTTCAGCCTCAGATATTTGAACTCATTTGCTCTGAAAAAAAAGCACAATTGTCAACATTTTAATAAGCTCTGTGCATGAAGTTAAAGTGTGTTGTCCAACACATGTTGAGCAATGCTGTAGTAGTTTAAATTAGAAGTGATGAGTGCTTGAACCTGGGAATGGCAATGGAAATGAAAAGAAGACGATAGACTAAGAGACATTTTGAGCATTCATCCACCAGGGTTAAAAGACTAGGTGAACACACTGGTGAAAAAAGACTCATAAGTAATTCTTTTTATTATTATTATTATACTTTAAGTTCAGGGGTATATGTGCAGAATGTGCAGTTTTGTTACATAGGTATACATGTGCCATGGTGGTTTGCTGCACCCATCAACCCGTCACCTACATTAGGTATTTCTCCTAATCCTATCCCTCCGCTAGCCCCCCCACCTCCTGACAGGCCCCAGTGTGTAATATTTCCTTCTCTGTGTCCATGTGTTCTCACTGTTCA
The DNA here is from genome assembly GCF_000001405.40 of Homo sapiens. NCBI lineage: Eukaryota > Metazoa > Chordata > Mammalia > Primates > Hominidae > Homo > Homo sapiens. Next base: position 57,122 of record NW_021159994.1, read on the forward strand.
GCTCCCACTTATGAGTGAGAATGTGCAGTGTTTGGTTTTCTGTTCTTGTGTTAGTTGGCGGAGAATGATGGTTTCCAGCTTCATCCATGTCCCTGCAAAGGACATGAACTCATCCTTTTTTATGGCTGCATAGTATTCCATGGTGTATATGTGCCACATTTTCTTTATCCAGTCTATCATTGATGGGCATTTGGGTTGGTTCCAAGTCTTCGCTATCATGAATAGTGCCACAATAAACATAATGTACATGTGTCTTTATAGTAGAATGATTTATAATCCTTTGGGTATATATGGGATTGCTGGGTCAAATGATATTTCTGGTTCTAGATCCTTGAGGAATCACCACACTGTCTTCCACAACAGTTGAACTAATTTACACTCCCAACAGTGTAAAAGCGTTCCTAGTTCTCCACACACTCTCCAGCATCTGTTGTTTCCTGACTTTTTAATGATCACCTTTCTAACTGGCTTGAGATGATATCTCATTGTGGTTTTGATTTGCATTTTTCTAATGAACAGTGATGATGAGCTTTTTTTCATATGTTTTTTGGCTGCATAAATGTCTTCTTTTGAGAAGTGTCTGTTCATATCTTTTGCCCACTTTCTGATGGGCTTGTTTGTTTTTGTCTTGTAAATTTGCTTAGGTTCTTTGTAGATTCTGGATATTAGCCCTTTGTCTGATGGGTAGATTGCAAAAATTTTCTCCCATTCTGTAGGTTGCCTGTTCACTCTGATGATAGTTTCTTTTGCTGTATAGAAGGTATTTAGTTTAATTAGGTCCCATTTGTCAATTTTGGCTTTTGTTGCCATTGCTTTTGGTGTTTTAGACATGAAGTCTTTGCCCATACCTATGTCCTGAATGGTATTGCCTGGGTTTTCTTCTACGGTTTCTATGATTTTACGTCTTACATTTAAGTCTTTAATCCATCTTGAGTCAGTTTTTGTATAAGGTGTAAGGAAGGGGACCAGTTTCAGTTTTCTGCATATGGCTAGCCAGTTTTCCCAACACCATTTATTAACAATTCAAGCCCTGACAGTGAAGAGAACATTGATGTTTTTAGTAAAATTTAAAAAAAAAACAAACTTCAGAGGACTTACATTTTAGAGAAGGAAAATAAATTTTTCAAGAAGACAGCTTGAGTTTAAGGTGGCATAAGGAAAGTGAAATGGAGATGCTCACTAGGTACTTTGTTGAGGGTCACGGAGAGTGAAGAAAGTTAAAGGCTTAGACTCAGCAGTCACCTATCTATAGTTAACAAATAAGACGATAAAAGTGGAAGAAAGAAATGTGAAGCTCTGAGAATCCATATGGCTAGGGGAGCGGAGGTTTGGAACTAGTAATAAAAATGTTTTTCCTCCCAGGTGCAGTGGCTCACACCTGTAATCCCAGCACTTTGGAGGTCTGGGCAGGTGGATCACCTAAAGTCAGGAGTTCAAGACCAGCCTGACCAACATGGTGAAACCCCGTCTCTATTAAAAATACAAAAAGTAGCTGAGCATGGTTGCAGGCACCTGTAATCCCAGCTACTCAGGAGGCTGAGTCAGGAGAATCACCAGAACCTGGGAGGTGGAGGCTGCAGTGAGCCGAGATCACATCACTGCATTCCAGCCTGGGCGACAAGAGCAAAAGTCCATCTCAAAAAAAAAAAAAGAAAGAAAGAAAAATCGTGTTTTTCCTGAGACTTAACCATTAAAACAAAATTCGAACTTAAAGCAAATGCTAATGTGGGGAAGAGGAAAGACAGCATAATCCAGGCAGAGGCCACAACCACTGAGGAAACCAAGACTAGAGACACAGCAGAAGGGAAAAGTCAATGCCTGAATTGCCTCTTGTGACTGAAGGGTTAGGGAGAGGCCAGCTTCTGAGGATCTTTGTCTTTGTAGACCAAGTGAAAATTTTTAATCTTTACAGTAAGAGCAGTGAGAAGTCACATGTTTCTTAAAACAAAACAAAACAAAAAAAACAGGAATATTTCTAGCACAGTGTGCTGATACATACCATATAAGATGCTGTTCTAATTCTAGAGCATGGCTGAGCTGCAGCATTGACTCAAGCCTGTTGTTGCTTTTCCAAATGTACCTTACAGGACAGTGAAATATATCATAAAGAAATTGCCTTTCTAGGTGTCCATCCTGAATCCACTCTTACTCATGGTGTTATTTTGAAAAAAATATTTAATTCATGCTTCTTAACTTTGGTTTCATATTCCAACCATCTAAAAATACCAATGCCTGGTCCCACCTCCCACAGATTCTAAACTCAAGGATTGGTGGTATTTTTAAAACATATTCAGGTGTTTCTAATGTGTATCCAAAACTGAGAACCAGGGACTGTCACTAAATGTTTCAGTTATTTATCTTGAAAATGGGCTGATTATAATAATACCTAATACTTGGAGATGAGATAAAATGAGGTGGTGTTTGGAAACACTATGTGTAAGCTAGACATGTATTTAAGTGTGTATTATGTCTCCTCATAGTCACTTACTGTAGTCATTCAAGTGTTGCAAAAGGCTCTTCCATGAAAAAGATCCATGAGGAAAGCTTTTTCTGTAGCTTCTGGCCTGGTACTTTAACTCGTAATGGTTTCTTCCTTCAACCAGTCATAGAAGGCCTGTGGTTTGATGTGTGGCAAGGTTTCCCTGCTTTCTGTTTATAGACATATTAAAATTTGTTTGCATCATTCTTTCCACATGTGGGATACCCAAAAACTTTGTTCTTGCTTGTTTCTTGCTGAATATGATTTTTTCCCAACCTTCTACCCCACGATCAGTTGGCCTTCTTCACTTCCATGGCATGAAAAAACAAAACAAACAAATAAAACAAAAAACAAAGAACAAACAAAAACTAACAGCAGTAAAAGCAAAAATCTCCTATTTTCTCTGGAGGATGGACCTTTAAATATAAGAGTAAAAATTTAGAAATGTTGAGTATAGTGATAGTGACGTAATGCCTCCCTTTAAAACTCAGTACAAATTGTGTTATGCAGAATAATTATAGAGTCAAAATTTTAAATGACATCACCACATTCTCCACGTAAGTTTCTACATAGGGAACAGCATACAGTGCTTTCTGCCTGAGGCTACCGCTCTACCTCCATTCTAGAGTTCATAGATGATATGCAACTTTGAACTTGGTCGTCTGAGTAAAGTGTGCATTTTCCAGCCTGGCTTTGATTCCTGTATTGATTCACTGTTGAGAGGTTGTAACTCAGTTCCTAGGCTTCTCATTCCTATCTGTCATGCATTGTGATTCATCATTGCCTCCACATTTGAGGATAATTTGTTTTCTGTTATTTTGTACTTCCTCAAATGTTCTCTAGCTAAGTCATATATGTATGCATGGTATCTTTCTTAAGGCCAGAGATCATGTTGCTAGGATGATTCTGGGCTAACGGAACTGGTCACAAGAGAACCACCATTTAAAAGAGCATAGAAGGCCTAAATTTAATTTTCTACTTCAGTTATTAACAGTTTTCTCTAACAAAGTTGACACATGTCCTCTCCAATGAGTAGATAATGCCTGTGTGACACAAATTAAAGTGATCAGACTGCTGACCAGGCCTTTGCTTTTGTTTTTCACCATCTTTGGTCACTTCCATCCCACGATTATGCTGAGCTATGTTCCTTTCAGCACAATGCTTAGCCATAATCATAAACAGTCAATGACTTTTGTCATTGCTCAATCAAAAGCAAAATTTTAAACATGCAAATTTTTTTAAAAAATGTTGTTATTACTTAGCTCTTTCAGTAACAAATGCTACATGTAAGTATTGAATATTTTGATTCTCAAATGCATCATTGAAGTTCATTAGATTTATTTTATTCAATGAATATTAGAAATTCGATATAGAAATGGAGAATGGGATAAGGAAGTTGAAAATCTTGGCAGAGGCATTTTTCAATGCATCTAGTTAAGAACACCAGACTTTCATTGAAAGTCATATAAAAACATACAGTTTATTTAACTGTAACCATTATTTTCCACTCTACCTTGGTAAACAGATAGTGCTGCAGTGTTTCAAGTAATGCCACCTGACAGGAGCAGCAGAAGGAAGTGCCTCTGGCTTCCAAAATTATGACTTATTGTTTCAATGTAGAAAAATTCTTAGTGTGATTAACATTTACTGTTTTTACTAACAATATTTAGCTGAGTTCCACTGCAGGCACCAAAGCATTGCTTTAGGAGCTCTTGGAAGGAGATGATGCTCTTTTTTTGTTTGTTTGTTTTTTCCTCCAAAATACTGTACTATTCACAGTGCACTTACCTTCAAGTTTTTAAATGCGAGTTTGTTTGAATTGAGTTTGACCTAAATGGCTTAGTAAATGGAAGTGAGGAAAAGCTGTTTCCACTTTCTAGCACTTTGAAATGTTCCCATCTAACACTTTCTAAATACACGGGTCAAAAAACACTTCAGTGGCCTAGGTAAAGCCTGCAAGCAATGGAAAATGAAGTAACATTTGACAAACACCTTTTAGTGCTGGGCACTTAACAGTGTTATATAAGTCTGAGAATGACTATGTAAGTTAAATGTGAGTAGCTCCATTTTTAAAATGAGGAAAATAAAATCCATTGCAATGTAAGTAACTTGCCCAACATCACTCAAAGGCCAGTGGCCAAGTCAGAACTCAAAACTTTGTGCTTCTGACCACAGAGACCTTGCTTAGCAGACATTTCTGTGTCAACTAGCTGATCCAGCTACTCTTAATAAGCAGTAAATGATTTCTTACCCCACCCTCTGTATGTTCAAGATGTTTTCCAAGATACTTAAATTGATAAAAATTCACCCAAGAAATAATACGATGTTTTTTGTCTTTTTCTGCCTAAGCCCTTAAATCTTAATAGGACCACAAACCCAGAATGTAAAAACAAAACAAAACAAAAAAAGCACTTTACTGATCTCTCTTTCACATATTTTGAGGCAATGATCAAAATAAATGTTCTTTGCTATCCTTGGAATAATACTGTATCCCAAAGTAGTACTGTAAAACTCGAAAATGTTGGAGTTGAAAGAGACCTTGGAGATTATTTGATCTTTTTTTTTTTTTTTTTTTTTTTTTTTTTTGAGACAGAGACTCACTCAGTATGATCTGAGCTCACTGCAACCTCCACTTCCCAGGTTCAAGTGATTCTCCTGGCTCAACCTCCGGAATAGCTGGAGTTCCATACATGCCTCACTACACCAGGCTAATCTTTGTATTTTTAGTAGAGACTTGGCTTTACAATGTTGGCCAGGCTGGTCACGAACCCCTGACCTCAAGTGATCCGACCGCCTCGGCCTCTCAAAGTGCTAGGATTATAGGCATGAACCACCCTGCCGGGTTCTAATCTTAAACTTGATATTTACATGTGAGAAAGTTGGAAGCTGAGCCTCTAAAGAGCTCACGTATAGGTTTCAATTTAGTCGCCAAGTTAAGTAGAAGAGTTAGAATTAAAATCAAGGGATCCTAGTCCTTATCTCTGTGTTTTTATCCACAGTGCTATGAATAACTCTACAAATGCAGTGTTATTTTACTTTTGCTTTATATTCCTGTACATGTTTGCAGATATTTGTTCAATTTAATGTTTTAACACTCCTTAAAATAGTGAACCACACTTCTTAACTTTTTTTCTTACTTGGGGATGTAAAAGGGAGTACTGAATGGGACCCTGTGTACTTGCATACTTCTCAAAGTAACCTGATTGTTATAGAAGTCTTATTGTTTTTACCAGGCCGAACATTGACTTGAGTTCATTCGAATGGTATCTTTTAAGCATTGTTGTCTTTGGTCAATTGATATTTAATTATTGCCAGTTGACTTATCAATCTCATTGTCCTAAAATGTCCAAATATATGTAAAATACATTAAACTAGTAGAATAAAAAGTTTTCTATAACAAAGAAAAATTACTAAAATTACTCTATTTCTGTAGAAGCTAATCCAGGACTCTGAGAGAGAGTTTCATTTGTATGTCCAAATACATTCACCTACCTATACATGTGTCCTTTTGGTAGAGAATAATTTTTTATTCATTTTCTTAATGAATAGCAAATTACATTTGAGAAAACAAACATTCTCACTGTACAAAATTGAAAATGGCTAATTTCTCACTTACATAGATTTCTTAGAACATCTGATACTTTCTCTATTCCTTCCATGAGAAATAACATTGTAAATTGAGCTGTTAAACTGATTCATGCATAGACCAGCAAAAAAGGGCAGTAAGTGGCTCTGAATCTTTCATAAATGCGGCAGAAAAGATTTCTGTCTGTGCTTACCCCTTACCCCTGCTATTTTATGTCATAATGCATCATTACATACTGATGTTTGTTCCTGTGCAAGTCAGCAAAAAAAAGGATTACATAGTGTATGCTGGCCCTTTTCCTTGAATTAACTATGTCACTTTTGATTTGTTATGTTATTGGACCATGTTTCAGGCCTTTTTAACACTGGCAACTATGGTACAAATATACATAGTCATCTCCAGAGGTTTGCTATTTTGTCATCTGAACCCTGAACATTTTAAATATTTTTATTCAGATAAAATGGTTTTAAAATAATATAAAATAATGCTCAAAAGGGAAAGACATTGATAATGTGCAATGTAAATAGAGGGTTTGGTGTGACACTGTCTTGTGGAAATTGTGGTAGTGAGCGGAATTATTCTACAGATTCATTTCTAAAACAAAATTTAAAAAAATGAGTATGAAATGGCCTCAGGTGGAACATAGTCTAATAATCATTTTCATTGTCATGTTTGTTTTCTGATAGCTAGGTCCAATAATCAGTCACATTTTGCCTGAAACTTCACTGATGAAGAATTCACTGCCTTCGTGGATGTTTTTGACACTCAAACCTTTCTTCATGGTTGCTCACATTTTCCAAATGTGGTTTCATTTTTATCTGTTGATCCCAATATATCACCTGGAAATACTAAATGAAGGAATAATGTACTTACTAAATACATTTGTGTAATATACTGTGAACAGGTAGTCTGATATTTTATTAGCCATAATCTAGCAGAGAAGAAACAATGTAATTTTTCTATTTAAATAGATTCATTTATTAAACTTCTATTGAGTGACAATTCTCCTTTAGGCTCTAGGATAAGTCCTGGGTATTCAAAGGGGAATAAGATGTGGTTCTTGTTCTCACAGAGTTCATGGTCTAATGAAAAGACCAAAAAAAGGTAAGAGTGGAGTGATCTGCTACACACTTGCTAAGTGACCCAGCACAAGTGTGGTTGCCTGTGTGTTTGTGTTAGAAGAGATAATGTTATTTAAAGGGCTTACCATAGGTGAAATCAGCAAAAGGTGGTTTCCAGTTAAGAGGTTGATGTGAAAATCTACATTACAGCATTTATGAACTAATTAAGATAGTAGCTGTTTTGTGGCATTTGACATGGTGAATTTAAGAATGTTTTAGATTCTGTGACATACATAGTCTGAAATCTTCAAATATGTCAGCTAGTAATAAAAGAAAATTAAGAAGCAATGCTTCTGTAACATACAGTAGACATAGTATCTTTTCCTTTTCTTGGAATTAAATTGGAATTTTATAAGAAAAAACTGTGGGAAGGTTAAAATGACAGTAAATAAAATTGTGGATGCATGGATCAATTGTGAAGAAGAAATAAAGATAATTTTGTGAAAACAGCGTTAGTATTTAAATGACTACTAAATCAGGCCTTAAAATACATTTTCCTGAAAATATGTTCACTTAAGGTTGTGTTTATATCAATTCAGAATTGATGATATTAAAACTGAAATTTATTTAATTTTACAGTCATGTTACAGATTTAATTAAAACATTTTTGAGATTAGAAGGAAAAAATCACCCACACATGGAATGTGACATAGCCTCTACCGTTTTTATAGAAAGTAACTGGAAAACAAATCCTTTTTAGGTTAAACCTAAGACCCAATAGTTTAATGTCTGAATGACAGATGATTATGAAAAAAGAAGCACGTGCTCTCTTCTCTCTCTTCCTCTTCGTATTCTCACTCTAACTCAATGTAGTTGCTTTGTTTGAATTTGAAATAAGCTGTTTTCTAATCGAGGATGTTGTGGATAATCAATCATATGGGGAAGAAAAGAAGTGCTTAATATGGCTCATAATTATTCTCCAAGTTTGCTGAAATTATTTGTACAGGAGAGTGACATGATCTTTCTGTCTTGCTCATGTAGGGGGTTTGCTAGTGGGAAATTAGTGATGAAAATAAAATACCAAAATGTCAAATCATTTATGTTCCTAAAAGCTGAAATAATTTCAATTTACGAACCAAGACAAAGTAAGGCAAAGAAATCTTTACAAATGTGTTTTTTTCCTTCATAGCATTCATAGCTCTAATGCATTTACAAGATGTTAAATCACATAGTTTTAAAGAAATCAGATTGAAATGGGAAACAATTTTCTAACATATTTGAATCTACTTCCAGGACTAATGTAGACACTCCCCAGAAACTTTGTATATCAATTCAGCTATTAATGGAAGTTGACATGCCATCATTCAGGTTGGTACATTGCACCAATGCTGATTGTACTAGCTACATGGGGGAAATATGAAGAAAAGCAGTGATTTAGGATTAGTTTTGCCTGAATAACCTTTTATAGTCCTTCCCAATATCATGGCTCAGTGCAAATATATGAATTCCTGATTAAAACTGGCTTTCAGCAATACAAAATCTGCACAAAATAAGGAAGTAAACTATTTCAATATCTCAATATTGAAACATTGATAGTGCTCAATAAATAAATGTCTTTGGAATGAATGAAGAGGTAGACAACTAATATTAAAGCAACACAAAGTTACATGACATAATTTACCAGGGAGGTGGACCATACACTGATAATTAATGTGTCTGCATTATTATTGTGATACTTCACTAACGTATAATTGTCCATCTCAAATAAATAAGTTGTTACTTATTGAATGAACCTCATTCATTAAGTAAGACTCTTTAAGTAGTTGGCACTTGTAGATGCGATCACAAACCCCAGTCAAAGTCACTAAATATATGCTGCAATGTTCTATGGTCAACATGGTTATGATGGAAATTATATTTCCTCGGAACCTCTTTTCTATATGATTTCAACTTATAAAGAATTATTAAATGGGAAACAGCAGTGAAGAAATGGGCATTAGGTTTGAGATGAAAATATTGCCTTGGAAATACACATAGAGTGATGCAGATTTTTCCCAATTTGTCTCTGCTCTTAACTGCTCTGCATCCAACTCTACTTCCTGACTGTTAGCTATGCTAACTAAGAGAAACTCAAGTTCATTCTCCAAATGATTTGATGCAAACTTAAGAAGTAAGGTAACCACAAAGAGCAAAGAGCCAACATGATTCCACAGACTTCAACACCAGCCCCATTTATGGTGCTGCTACTCTAAAAGCTAGATGTAATGAGCATCAATATTTCCTGAAAATTCCATACAATTCTATTTCTCTAATCTCTTTTTGGGGGCCTTTATTTCCCTGGATCCTACTTCAATTGTGTAACATCTGACTCCATTAGCAAATTCATTGGTTCATAGTTCTTATGATAGTTCTGCTTGTCTTATTTTATCCAGCCAAAGATAATCACAATGATATCTCCCATCTTCATGCTCAAGAAGTGGAAACCATTTCTCTGCTCTCTTGAATCAGAGTCTAGGAGTTGGGCCTATGACTGCTTTGACCAGTAGAATAGGAAGAAAGGGATGCTGTGCCATTTTCAGGAGCAAGGCTTAATTGGTTTGGTATCTTTTGATTTCTCTTACAGAACACATGCTGTAGAGAAGCCCGTCTCCATAAAACAGTCTTGACTACTCTGAGATTTTCATGCTGTGCAGAAGACTAAGCCGACTGTATGACGAAGAAATGTTAAGAAAAAGAGCTGATCAACCAATTTGGAATCACCGCCGCCTTCCCAGCTGAGGTCCCAGACACTTGAACTGGTCCAGTTCATCCAAATTTCTGACTATTCTAGACCCAATTGACATTTGATAACAACTACATGTGATATTTGGAGCAAGAACTTCTGTCTGAGACCAATATACTCAAAGATCCATGAGAGACAATAATATAGTGATGTTTTAAAATATCCAGGCATGGAATTTCTTGTTAATGTAATATTAAATAACAAAAGGAATGAATTACAAGCGCTGTGTTCTTCCTTGGTCCCCTGCTTTCACCACTGTAGCTCATTTGATAAGGGATTCAGCAATTGCTAAGTGAAGTGGAGCAACCCATTCAAAGTACAAAACGTTGTTTAACTTTTAATAATTTCTTTGCTGGGTTTACTTTCATAATACTTTTCATAATAATTTCATTGCTGGGACCATTTGCTGTGCAAGATTTACAAGCATTATTTAGACTATAGTGCCCAAACAAAACAGAAACTATTTTTTAAAGCCATAAATGACTGAGGTCCCACAGGAAAAAAAAAAAAGATATTTTAACAAATATGCACTGTGTCTCCAAATTTTGTTATAAATACATTTTATATTACTATGTTTTGTATTATCAAATACCGTCTAGAAAGTGTGTTAATTTTTATTTGCTCCTTCATGCTTCTTGACAGTTGGAGAAGGCTGGAGGAATGTGTGACTCAGAGACTTCGGCAACAAGAGTTTTGGCCTTTCAGCAATTACTCAAAATTTACTTGAAATTCACTGCTGATGAGATTTTGTTGGTACTACAGGGCAGAAGGGAGCCTCAGTAAAGTAGTTATTGCACAGACATTTACTTCAGTGGTGGTAATTCTTGCAACAATAAGACAAAATTTTGAGTTCCTCATTTACTCCTTATCAGTATTTTGTGTTTGTATTAATAAATTACTTAATCTCTCTGAGATTTAGTTCGCTGTGGGCAAAATAGGGACTGAATCCTACATATATATTTATTTATTTTATTTTCTTATTTTTTAAACTTCCTTCCTTCCTTTTTTCCTTCCCTCCCTCCCTCTCTCCCTCCCTCCCTTCCTCCCTCCTTTCTTTCTTCTTTCTTTCTTCTATGCCAAAGAGTTTGGTATCCAAAAAATTCTCAATGAAAATTAATATCCTTTATCTCTTAACACCCACTGTAGCTCCACACTCCTCCTTTTCCACCTTACTCCATTTCTGTTTTTTTTTTAATTTTTTTCTAGCTACATTCAGATTTCTGGTTTTCTAATTGAATATTTTATAATACTGTATCTGTTTCTTTCTGAGTATGAGCAACTGCTATATCCTAACTATTTATTGGCTTTGACATCTTCTACCTTTCTCCATATGATAATAGCTATGATTAATTGAACAATTATTACATGTGAAGCATTACCTTAATGCAGGTATTATTAATATGGCTGTTTTACAAATGGGAATTTCAAGGACAAAGAGTGACTAATTTCACATAACTCAGAAAGCTAGTAAGGGGAAGAGTCTTTGGGACTAATTAAATTAGTCAGACAGCATTCTCCTTCCTAAGAGCAGGGCTTTAAAACTTTTAATAAAAAGACAAAATTTACATTTTGTTTATACCAGTGTGTCTCAAAATGTGCTCCATCATCAACTCTATCAGAATTTTCTTAAATGCTTCTTAAAATGCAGATACTTAGGCCCCAAACCAGTAATGGAAAAGAGAAGCTTAAGGTTGCAGTGGAGGAGTCCAAACCTTTCATAGAATTTCCCAGTGATTCTTGGAACAAAAATGTTTGAGAGCCTTTGTATTAGAAACATACGGAGTTGTTTAAACATAACAATGGGTCACACAATGTCCCTGACTATTTAAAATATATCTACATTTGTTTTTTTAAATATTATAAGGCCCAGGGCTATAAAAATAAATGCAATAGTTAGGGTTTGCATGTTGTCCTTCCCCATTCTTATAATCCCTATGATTCTGAGGTGTTTTCTACTCCACATTCAATGTGGTTTTCTATAATTATTGATTCACTAGATTGCCTTTCTCATAATTATTTACTGTTTAACAACAGCATATTTAATAACAGAACTTTTGTATCTCCTTTCTCCAATTCATATGTTGCAGCCCAAATATCTCGTAGCTCAGAATGAGACTCTCTTTGAAAGTAGGCCCTGTAGAAAGGTACTTAAGGTAAAATGAGGTCATATGGGTGAGCCATAATCTAATATGGCTGGTGTCTTTATGAGAGGATATTAGGACACAGGCAACACAGACTGAGGTTAAACGCAGACTGAGGATGTGGTGGCACATCCAGAAGGTGATCATCTGCAAGCCAAGGTGAGAGGCCTCAGTAAAAAACAAACCTAGCAATACCTTGGTTGGGGACTTCTAGTCCACAAAACTATTAGCAAATAAATTTCTTGTCTAAGCCACCTAGTATGTGACATTTTGTTATGGCAGCCCTATCAAACTCATACAATAACTAGTTATATGTGTGTGTGTGTGTGTGTGTGTGTGTGTGTATATATATACACACACATATAGAATGTATAATATATAATGTGTATAATATGTATATATGCATATATGTGTGTATATATGTATATAATGTGTATAATATAATATGTATTTATATATAATTACATATTTATATATAAATATGTATTTATATATAATTACATATTTATATATAAATATATATTTATATGTAATTTAATATATATACATTTATTTATAAAATCTTAAAATTATAAAAATTATAATTTGTAAATATATATTTATATATAAACTCATACAAGAACTAATGTATGTGTGTATATATATTACATATATTTAATTATATATAATCATATATACATAAAATTTCTGTTTAAAGTAATTTAAGCTATGGATGAACAGATGAGAAAATTTGGTACCTCTTACTTATTTCTGTGAGCTTCTGTAATGTATCTGTCCCTTGTAATATAAGTTGAATCTTCCTTTGAGTCTTGTTCCATGCAGTCATCCAGTTGTATTAGAAACATATAGAGTTGTTTCCTTATATGCTATATTCAGAGAAGAAATACTAGTAGAAACCTGAATATTGACACAGCCTTTCTCCACTATGTTTTATACTATTCAACATTCTACTTAATAGCTATCATGTTCTATCTTTTCTACCTCTACTGGACGCTGAATATACAAAATTCCTTTGAAATAATCAGATGTGCTTGTGAAATAGCAAAGTATGATAGATTAGATTATCGTTGCTAAATACTCAATTATTTCCCCACTTGCAGAGAAGAATATTTTCTTTGGCCCATTAATGTTATTAAACATTTTTTTTTGCACTGGTCTATAGGGAATGAAAAAGAGAACCCCACTCTTGGCAATAATTTCTGAATTCTCCATTGCCTAAATGACCAATTATTTATTCTCACTCATGAATCCCCATGTAAACTTGTGATGAGTTAATATAGTCCAACTTAGCTGGGAGGCTGATTTCCTACTTTGCTGGGCTTCTTGCCATTTTTTGGAAGATTTTGGCGCTTAATATTTATTATTAATACATTAATGTTATATTTAATATTTATTATTAATTTACGTAAAAATGTATATTATAATTCCTCAAATCTACATATGCCTAAAGAATATTAATTGGTAACATCATTCCACAAAATTTTATCAAATTTGAAATATTCACATTTATGAAAATACTAACTCAGTTATTCAAAAAATCAAGAAGACTTTAAATTCATTTCAAAAGATATTTATATTATTTTTAGAATTACATCATGCTACGTCAATATTGAAAACTTTAAAAACAAAACCCTAGATTTGAGTTGTCTTAAAGAGTTAGAGTGGAAGACAAAAGAAATAACGTAATTTTATCTTAATGCTTAGAAAATACAGGACATAAAGAATGACTAATAATCTAAGAATGAATAGAAACAAGATTTGAAATAAAAATAAGCAATAATATGGATTTGAATACAAAATTAAGAAATATTAATATTCAAAGACAATTTTATTTTTATTGATATGCATACAATTAGAATTAATATAAACTTAATACACAATGATAGTACCATAGTATAATGAATTCAGCGTAGATAGACGTGACTATAGGAGTTTATAAATTTTAATGAGCAAAACATGTGAATTCAATTGTTCATTTATTTCCTGTTTCATTTAACACATAATTATTGACTCTCACTTTCTTGTGGTACTGTTTCAGGCACCTGGGATCTGCAGCAACAACATAACTAAATTACCTGGCCTCGTGGAGTGTACTTTTTAGTGGGGTAAAATAGAAAATGAGTAGGTAAATAAGATAATATCAGCCATCGTCATGGCTTTGAATGGTAAGTTGTGTGGGAACATTATTGAGATATATATTTTTTAACAATACATTGTTTTAATAATTGAAAAAATCAGATATTTAATATCTAACTTTTTCACAATTATGCTGGATTACAAGCAGATCTTCTAACTATGGCAGTAACATCCCTGCAGCATGCTTTAGCTTCACCAGTGCAAGTTTATGGGTCTTACATATTTCATCTGATATTTAAACACACTCATTGTAAAACAAGTAACACTTGTTATTAAAATGTTGCATTATGTGGAATGTACAAAAGCGTTGTCAACCCTATGCCATCAATAATTATGTTTTCTGGGAATTAAGTAACTCCAAATATTCTATATGGGAAAAATATCTGTGACTGGGAGGATGAAACAAACAGGAAAAGAAAGCAAAATTGTCTTACAGCTTGTTTCTTGTAGCTTTTTAGTTTTTTGTCTCATTTTAGTCCCATTACTCTTGTTAAACTTGGTGAGCACTGATACACAAGAATATTTCTTGAATTGAAATTGTCCCATATAGGACCATTTAATTGCTGTCAAAAGAAATATCTTTGTGTTCTGTATTAAAACCAAAACAAGATTTTTATGGGGCTAATAAAAATATATTAAAGAATCACATGCATGCAATAAGTATATTCAGAGTTAAAAAATAAGACAGGTATATTGAATGCTTACTTAATATATCAAAAATTGTATGATATGGGCAAAAATAGGCATCAAATTACCTTTACCATCTGGAGTTCACCACTAAAACTATGTGAAAAAAATCACAAGTTAATTCATGTTTAAATAGAATATATCCTCCTCTCATATTCCAAGAAAATAATATTTTCAAAACAAATTATCTTCATGTCTATTCAGTTCTCAAAAGTACTTTGCTTATTCCTCTACATAAAATTTTGATGGAATGGTGTCATTTGCTAATTTTTTTTGTAAATGCCTGCCTCTGGCAAGGAGCAATTTAAACACAAAGGATACAATGAAATCTTAATATGTGTCACTAATCAAGGATGTACACAGGCAGTCTGTTTTTGAGAAGAACTGGTATAAACAGTTTGTTGCCTTAGGAAGACAGCAATCTGACCTAAATTAATATGAATTACCACAACATCATCAGAGAAACTGCCTTGTAATACAAACATTTCTATCTAGACCCCAAAGGTTCAGTCCATCCAACTGTTATGCTGTGTATACTCAGATTTATTCTCTTTATATCCATTTAAACAGCAATAATTGCTCTTTTAATTTCCCAAATTATTTTGCCCATGTTCTTTTTATGGTTGGCCTGTGGTGCTTTAAACATTTTTCAGAGGAAACTGTAGAATGTAGAAAGTATGTATATAAGTTTTGTTTAAAATTGTGCTAAAAATCAATATTATTTTAAGGACAAAGATAAAATTAAATATTTGTAATTATTATAATCTACAGGATACTCTCCTAAAATTGTTCTCCTATTCTTTCAAAGGCTATGTATGTGTATAATCATATAACTTTCAGCACTCTAAACATTGTTCACAGTGACCATCCGTTTAGTGGTTAAATCTCTTTATGTTTTTTAAAAGCTATTATTTGTTAAGATCATTGATAAAATATTTGTCAGAATTCTAGAATCTTGGAGATTATGGGACTTCTATAATTAATCTTGTAACCCATTGTTTTGCCATATGGATATGTGTTTAACAATTTCAGATAGTAGTCAATTTTTATTTAAAAAGTAAATTGAATTTTAATAATATTAAAAATAACTTTTAAAAAGATCTAACAAGTGGTCAATAATTCATAGGCATTGGAATGCTTCCTTATTATTAGAAAGAGGAAATGTTATTAGGAAACAATCACTCCTTATTTCATTAGCTTAGGTGATTTCTCTAGTATACAATTCCTAGTGTCATATTTATCTTGGATTTAAGACTTTTCATTTTGCTTTACATTTCTTCTTCTTTCTTTTCTCATTCAGGCAAGAGTTCTTCCCAAATATGACAAACTAATCACACCTTTAATGATTTGATGGTAATTGTGATGAGCAATAAAGACCTACTTTTAAGTTTATATATTATAAAATATTTTAAAATAAATGTTGTGGATGCCTATTTGCATTCCTTGCTTTACTTAATCTTATTTTATTTTAACACCAGGATTTAGTGTATGTGTTTTCTCCTCTAAAACATAAAAATCTATACTATCTGAGAATCATAATGTATATCTGTTTTAATTCATCTTTCCTTTCTATAGCCATTGCATAACATGGTCTTATGTTTAAAAAAAGATCATATAGAGCAGCAGTCCCCAACTCTTTTGGCACCAGGGACCGGTTACATGGAAGACAATTTTTCCATAGACAGGGGCAGGAGGTCGGCTTCAAGAAGATTCAAGCACTTTACATTTATTGTGAACTTTATTTCTATTATTATTACGTTGTAATATATAATGAAATCATTATACAACTCACCATAACGTAGAATCAGTGGGAGCCCTGAGCTTGTATTCCTGCAAATAGATGGTCCCATCTGGAGGTGATAGGAGACAGTGACAGATCATCATGCATTGAGATTCTCATACGGAGCGTGCAACCTAGATCACTTGCATGTACAGTTTATAATAGGGTTCACACTCCTAAGAGAATCTGATGCCACAGCTAATCTGACAGGAGGCAGAGCTCAGGAGGCAATGCAAGTGATGAGGAGCAGCTGTAAATACAGATGAAGCTTCACTCACCTCCTGTTGCTCACTTCCTGCTGTGAGGCCCAGTTCCTAACAGGCCATGGACCTCCTTTATATCAGGGATCCATGGCCCAAGGGCTGGGGACCCAGGTTATAAAGGATATATAAATGAATAAGTAATTGAACCAATGTGTAAATGAATCAATGAATACAAAACCAGACAAAAGTACAATATTATCTTTAAATTTTTATTTACATCTGTGTCACTTTTACTTATATATATGTGTGTGTGTGTGTGTGTGTGTATATATGTAGATGTCTGCACTTAATACACTAAAATAAATGCTAACGTAAGTTATTAAATTTTATCTCAAAATATTTCAATTGTTTTCCTTAATGTTTTTTATTGGATTTATTTTTTTAATCTTATTAAGCTTACTTGTGCTGTAAAGAAGAAAATACGTTGCTTGTATGACCACTATCATCAACAATTACATATTTAATATGTTATATGTCCTTAGGCAGTTGAAGATGCTAATAAGGGATGGACTGACAACATGACCTGTCTACTCATCTATTCCCTAATCAACATGTCATGTTTTCTCCACAGATCAAATAAGATGATTCAGAAAGAAGACTTTCTTTGTCAACTTTTATGACAAACTAGAATATATGATTTTGTATTATCTTTTTTTTCCTTCTCTGGACTCTAGGGAAGATGGATATTGAATTGACAAGACATGCACTTTAGGGATCAAGGCATAACTAAGCTGGATTATATACCTCTGGAGAGTACTTTGATTATACAATTTGATTACCTTTCAACTTGAATCTCCCAATCCACATGTTATCTAAATTAATCTTTCCTGATGGGCAGCTCATTTGGATTTAATCCCACTGTTTATACTGCCAAAGTCACATATTTGAAACACTTCAGGGTTTTAAGTTTCCAATTATTAATGATATCTTGAAAAATCTTAGAACTCCTTTCTTTTTCTACAACTAAAAGCCGTTATATAAAATGGCCTCATTCTGAGGCTTATTAATTTACAAGATTTTCACTAATTGATACATTCAACAATGAATAGGCCATTTATATCCTGAATATGCCCAGACTAAGTTTAATCTTGAGAATTATAAATTGCTATTCTTTCAACTGTTATTTATTGTGTACTAACTACATTTCATGCATTGTTCTTTCCGGCTTCTTTTGAAATGTTTTAATTAGATCACAATAAAATTGTTTAAATTAAATTTAAGAGATCTCTTAGCCATTTTTTAATAAGAGTCATTTGAAATAAAGATCTTAGGATATAAAATTCTAACCAACATACTCCTCTCCTCTTGTCAGGTTTTGCAAGCATACATATTCAGGTAAACTGGGGTCTCAACCGCAGGGATATTAAGTCCTTGGAGAGCTGGAGAACTGACATACTCTCTAAGTGATTTCCACTCTCAAATACACAGAGAGAAGTCAAGGACCTTAAGTAAAAGTTACTGTTCAATTTCCATCTCATGAGAGGATGTTAATAGATGTATCCACTGCATAAGAGTTTGCAATCCAAATATAGACTATTTTTCTATGCTTTGAGTACTTCAGCTAATCTTCACCATTGTCTACTTCATGCTCATTTTATTGAGGTCTAAATATTCTATGAGGGTTACCATGCAATAGCTAAGAGACATCATAGATGAACATTCTATTTATTTATTCTCTAAATTATTTTTGTAGTAAAAAACTTTTTTATAGTATCTTAAGATTATAGAAAATTTGTCAGAAAACACAATGCTAGATAAATTTCAAAACATTTCTAATAAAAATTTTATTTAGAGTTTTGCCAAGACAAAAAATTCAGAGGAGTACATTAGGTCTTAAGAATATTGCACATGAAATATATAATTTACATAGAAAAACAGAACAAATGGTTTTATTCCAATAGCTGTTGGGAACAGTCCCCCAAATCTGGCCATAAACAGGCCCCAAAACTGGCCTTAAACAAAATCTCTGCAGCACTGTGACATGCTCGTAATGGCCATGACGCCCATGCTGAAGGTTGTGGGTTTACTGGAATGAGGGCAAGGAACACCTGGCCCACCCAGGGCTGAAAACTGCTTAAGGTGTTCCTAAGCCACAAACAATAGCATGAGCGACCTGTGCCTTAAGGACATGTTCCTGCTGCAAATACCTAGCCAAACCCATCCCTTTGTTTCAGCCCTTCCCTTTGTTTCCCTAAGGAATGATTTTAGTTAATCTGTAATCTATAGAAACAATGCTTATCACTGGCTTGCTCTCAATAAATATGTGGGTAAGACTTTGTTAGTGGCTCTCAGCTCTGAAGGCTGTCAGCCCCCTGATTTCCCATTCCACACTCTATATTTATGTGTGCGTGTCTTTAATTCCTCTAGCACCACTGGGTTAGGGTCTCCATGACCAAGCTGGTCTCAGCAAATAGCCTCATCCCAATTTGTTGAAAAGTTTGGAAGAGATGATGCATGTAGGTTTGTTTCCATAGAAAAAAAAAGTGGTAAGATGCAGCCGGGCACTGTGGCTCATGCCTGTAATCCCAGCATTTTGGGAGTCCGAGGCAGGCAGATGGCCTGAGGCCAGGAGTTCAAGGCTGGCGAAACCCTGTCTGTACTCAAAATACAAAAAATTAGCTAAGAGTGGTGGTGGGCACCTGTAATCCCAGCTACTTGGGAGGCTGAGGCTGAGGCTGGAGAATTACTTGAATCTGGGAGGTAGAGGCTGTGGTGAGCCGAGATTGTGCCATTGATTTCCAGCCTGGGCAACAAGAGCAAAACTCCATCTCAAAAAAAAAAAAAAAAAAAAAAAAAAAAAAAAGAAAAAGAAAAAAAAGATCCAATCAAACATCTCATTCCAAATAAAATCCAGTAGGCTTCTCAACACCAAAAATTTACCTTGTTAGAGTCTCTTCGATTTCAGACTCTATCCAATGTCATTCTGTTTATTTTTATTTGCTCAGTTAATGACAAATCTGCTATTCATGCATGTTTCAAATGTCATATTGATATACAGATATATAATTTTATAGCATCATTGTGTGTTGAATTTAGAAGGTACCTTTGATAGGATTCTTTCTAATCTTTCCCTATGTTCATTGAAGACATTAATTTTGAAGGAAGGTTTTCTTCATGTAACACTTTGCTCTTCAAGGTTTTTAGTATCAATGGCATAAACATATATTGTTACAAACTTGAACATATGAGTCTCCATGATAGTAAACCAACTCAACAAAAATATCACTCTGAAAATATTTGTGTCCAATAATCCTAAAGTCTAAAAGTTTCAATTCACCAATTTATCTAATAAAGCACTAGATGAATAGAATTTTGGAAGTAGTAGCCTGAGGCCTAGGTTAAAATGTCAATCTTTAATTTCTTATTTTATTTTTTTTTGACTGTTATCTCTTTTCTGGAGGAACTACTTTGATAATCAAGGGTCTTAATGGTCAGAGCAGTTATATGTTCAACTCTTAAGCTATGAAATTAAGTCATCAATGCAGATCCCCAGTTTAAGCAATTACTACAATTGGGGCATTTGTTACATCACTTAATTTCTTACACCTCAGTTTAATCAGCTGACAAATGGATTGGATAATAACACTTACCTCATAAATGTATTATAAGGAATAAACACTTAAAAGTGTCCAGCATGGATTAGTAAAGACTCATTAAATGTTAGCTATGATTAATACTTATATTTTATTTAAATAGACCTGAGACATTGCATACACAATGAAGCCTATATAAATCTTTATGTTTCTCTTTTTGCCTTGGCTACCGGGAGGTGAAATTTTTTTAAATTATAGCAACTCAGTTCGATGCTATAGATGAGACTTAATTTTTTAAGCTACTGGGCATTGTATAAGTCTCTTTTTTAAGAAAAATTAATTCTCTGATTGTCCCTAGTCAGAGTTTTGAGGTAAGTCACACTGTGGTTGCAAACTGATGCTGGGACGAAGAGTAGAGGCTGAAACAGTGGCACATTGTTTGGGGAAAAGCCAAAGCAGAGGAGACATGATTTGAGGTAGTGCCCAAAGTCTCAGCAAGAACAAGCTGAATTTTAACCATCAGGAAAATATTGCACTCTCATGAATTATTTTTTTTAAATCAAAAAGAGTCAGAAATCCAGTAGAAACTGGGATTCATTGAAAAGTGAAAAGAAGTAAGAGTAAAGAAAATGGTTTTAAACATTTGCTGTACTGTGAATTATAATGGAGGCTTGAGACTCCTTTTATTAATAGCCTACTTTGCAGCATATAAGGAGATCGTTTTACTCAAATATTAATCATTGTGTACCTAATGTCAAATTTTATTCTCGCTACCCCTCTATCAATTCCGTGCCCTCTTTGAATGGGTTAGGCATTATCTTTACATATAACCTGTGATTCAAGAATTATATTATAGCCAGACCTTTTACTTTAAATCAACTATAAGCTATTTAAAACGTAGGCTTGGTATAAATAATAAAGTAAAATAAAATTAAGTTAGCCGTGTTACATAGCCACGAAAAAGCTAATGTAAATTCTCAGCATAGTAGATTGGTAGCATCAATAGTAGAAACTGTTTATTTTCTACCAGTTAGACCACAAATAAATTAATGAAGTCATTTATGGACAATGTATTTTCAATAAGACAATGTTAAGCTAGAAATGATATGCTATAAAAAGTAGGCTAGCGGGTTTTATAATATTGCCATATGTAAATCGTTGATGTACCTGAGGCAGAGACAACTAAATAGATAGTTAGAGGCTCTTTGGGAGGCAGCTTGAATATTCAAGATAGTATTAATGTATTGCAATGGTAAAGAGAAGAAAAGTGCTGCAAGGGTCTTAGAGCGAGGCAGCCTAGGTGAACATTCTAGGGCTGTCACCAACTTTTGCCTAATCCTGGGCAAGTCACTTCATTATCCTGAGCTTTGGTTTATTGAACTGTAAAATGAGGAGAGTAAAATAATGGCTAACTCACAGCACGATATAAGAATGAAATATCTTTATATATGTTTTAATATATAATTATTTGAAAGTTCATATGAGCAGTACTCAATGCATACCATTTATTATTATTCAATTTTAGTCAGGGATGCTGTTGAGTCACTTGCGGTAAACAGTTTAAATATTATCTAAGTTGTATCTTTTTGTAGATATTATGATGGGAAATTTCTAAAATTGTAATAAGAAAGAGACAGAAATTTGAATAACAGAGGCTTGATATTTGATAATTTGTTTCCCCAAGACTAGCCAAGCAGGGAAAATTCCAGGTATTCTGGCAACTCAGAAGGGGAATGTGGAATTTTCTGATTGAGTGAATAGGCATTAATATCATAGAGAACTGCCAAATGTAAAAATCAGGCATATTACTGAAAACAGAAATTCAGAATATTGTCACTGGTTCTTGACCTTGAATACATACTAGTTATCATTGGGGAAGTTTTCAAGAAACACACATACACACACACACATACACACACACACACACACACACACACACATTGGCTTAACTTCTACCATCCAGAATTTTGAATTTATTTTTCAGGAATGAAATCTGTGAAAGTGTGTATCCATCTTTACAATTAGATTTGAAAACCACTAGACTATGTCAAAGAGAAATTTGAATTTAGTGAGACACAGAAGATGACGAGAAGCAGAAAGAGAAGAGCTTGAAGTTGTGTCCTTTATTATTATTATTATTAATAATAATAGAATTTAGTTCTAGAGCAATTATGAATAAAGCTGCTATAAATATTTGGGCGTAGGCTTTTTATGGACATAAGTTTTTTTATTATTATACTTAAGTGTTAGGGTACATGTGCACAACGTGCAGGTTTGTTACATATGTGTACATGTGCCATGTTGGTGTGCTGCACCCATTAACTCGTCATTTAAAATTAGGTATATCTCCTAATGCTATCCCTCCCCCCTCCCCCCACCCCACAACACACCCTGGTGTGTGATGTTCCCCTTCCTGTGTCCATGTGTTCTCATTGTTCAATTCCCACCTATGAGTGAGAACATGCGGTGTTTGGTTTTTTGATGGACATAAGTTTTAAACTCCTCCTGGTAAATACCAAAGAGCACAATAGTTGGATCATGTAGTAAGAGGATATTTCATTTTGTAAGAAACTGACAACCTGTCTTCTATAGTGGTTGTTCTATTTTGCTTTCTCATCAGCAGTGAATGAAATTTCCTGTTACTCCACATCCTTAACAGCATTTAGTGTTTTGGATTTTGGTAATTATAATAGGTGTGTAATGGTATTTTATTGTTGAATTTGCATTACCCTAATGACATATAATGTGGAGCATCTTTTCTTATGCCTATATGCTATTCTTTCTACATTTTTGTTGCAGTGTCTGTTAAGGTGTTTGGTCCATTTTTTGGTTAGGTTGTTTGTTTTCCCATTGTTGAGCTTTAAGAGTTATTTGTATATTTTGGAAAATAGTCCTTATTAGATGTGTCTCTGGCAAATATTATCTCCCAGTCTGGAGGGTGTCTTTTTACTATCTTTCACTAAACGTAAATCTTAATGAAGTCCAGCATATCATTTCTTTCTTTCATGGATCATGCTGTTGATGTTTTATCTAAAATGTTATCACCAAATCCAATGTCATGTAGGTTTTATCTTGTATTATATTCAGATTTATAGTTTTATATTGTACATTTAGATCTGTGATTCATTTTGTGTTAATTTTTTGAGAGTGTAAAGTCTGTATCTGAATTCTTTTTTTGCATGTGAATGCCCAGCCATTCCAGTTTCATTTGTCAAAAACACTACCTTTCCTTCATTTTGTTGCTTTTGTGCCTTTCTAAAAGTTCAATTGACTATATTTTTGTAGGTTGATTTTTGTGTTCTGTATTTTGTTCCACAGATTTATTTGTCTATACCTATACCGATGCCACACTGTTTTTATTACTGTAGCTTTATAGTACATCTTGAGATGACATAGAATTAGTCCTCCAATATTTTTCTTTTTTAATACAGTATTGGCTATTATAATAACTTATTATTTGCCTCTCCATATAAACTTTAGAATCAGACTGTTGATATCCACAAAATAACTTGCAGGGATTTTAATTGGTCAAATCAGGAAAAACTTAACCTTGACAGTCTTGAATCTTCCTATACATGGACCTAGAAATCTCTGAATTGGTTAGTTGTAATTTGATTCCTTTTACCAGAGTTTTGTAGTTTTCCTCATATAGATATAACACATATTTTGTTAGGTTCTTATCATAGTATTTATTTTTGGAGATATGCTAATGTAAGTGATATTCCATTTTTAGTCTCTAATTCTAATTGTGCATTGATGGTATATAGGAAAGTGGTGGACTTTTGTAAATTAACCTGGTATCCTGTAATCTTAATATAATTGCTTATTAGCTCTAAGGCTTTGTTGTTGTTGATGATGATTCTTTTCAGAATTGTTTTCTTTAGAGACAGTGTCTTGCTCTGCCACCCAGGCTGGAGTACAGTGGCGCAATCATAGCTCACTACAGCCTCAAACTCCTGGGCTTAAGTGGGCCTCCCGCCTCAGTCTCCTTAGTATCTCAGACTATAGGTGTGCACCATCACAGCCAACTAATTTATTTATTTATTTTTGTAGTGATGGAGTCTTGTTGTGTTGCCAAGGCTGGTGTTGAACTGCTGGACTCAGGTGATCCTTCTGCCTTGGCCTTCCAAAATGCTAGGAAGGTGTAAGCCACAGCACCTGGCTCAGATATATATTTTTTTTTTACATAGACACTGACATCTATGAACAAAGACAGTTTTGTTTCTTTCTTACCAATTAGTATACCCCTTTTCTTCTCGTATTGCATCATTTAGGACTTCCAGAATTATACTGAAAAGGAATGGTAAAAAAAAAGACATTTTTGCGTTATTAGTGATCTTGGTGGGAAACATGTTAGTCTGTCATCATTATTCATGCTCTTAGCTGTAGGTTTCTTTTGTAAATATTCTTTAACAAACTGATGTAATTCCAGTCTATTAATCAATGTCTTTTATTGATCTAGTCAGTAAATATATTTTCAGGCCTATTTTATGTCAAAAAGCAATGTAGTCATTACAGATACAATGATGAGGAAAAGCACATTTTGCCTTGTTCCTCTAAGAGAGGCAAACATTAGAGTAATAAGGCACAGCCCAAATGGCAGTAATGCCTAAATAGAGAAGTACATGCTACTCTAGCACCTAATAACATCTGAATAATCTGAGGTGTTCAAAGAAAGTTTTTCTGAGAAAATAGGTTTTCTATGGACTTCATCTGAAGAGCAAAGAGAAACCATTGTTTAACCCATAATCATGAAGAATAAACCAGAAGGCAATATCAGTAGCTGAGGATCCCATTTAAAAACACTCAAGATCTGTAGTCAGCAAGCTGAAGGCCCAGGGAGGCTGGTGGTGTAGCTATAGTCCAAGTCTGAAAGCCTGAGAACCAAGAGAGTTACAGGTGTAAGTTGCAGCCTGAAAGTTGGCAGGTTCAAGATAAGAGAACTAACGTTTCACTTTGAGTCCGAAGACTGGAAACAACTGATGTCCCAGTTCAAAAGCTGTTAAGCAAGGAGAATTCCCTCTTACTCAGCCCTTTTGTTCTATGGATCCTCAATTGATTGGATAAGGTTTACTCACATTAGGGAGTACAATCCACTTTACTTTCTCTACCAATTCAAATGTTAATCTCATCCAGAAACATTCTCACAGACACGCTCAGAGTAATGTTAGTCTAACTGTCTGGGCACCCATGTAAGTAAAGGAAAAATTTTATGTGTCAGTAAAGATGACACATAAAATTAGCCATCATACAGGTTTATTGCCTTTCATGCATGAATGCAGAATCTCATTCTCTCTCCATCTCCTGCCTCTTTCTCTATTTATTTCCACCTCACCATTTTTTATAGAAGTGTTTGTGTTGACAATTAAGTGAAAGTTTTTCTTGTTTATGCCTTAGGTCAGAAATAGTTCAATTCATTCTAACTACATTAAAAGTATAACTTGCATAAGAATTATAAGGAAATAAACTCCAACAATTTATTTTATTGGTGAGAAGAGAAATGTGAGAGAATAAAGCCTTTTATTTGTATTGTCATTAGTAGAAAAATATTATTTAATTAATTAATAGTAAATAATTGCATTATTTAGAAAACAAATAACATATATTAACTGTCTTCTAAATTGGCTAGAATGTCACAGAGTGTGATATTTTGCAGTGACTATAACACCAAAAGTACTAGCTTGGAAGTCATCATGAAACATAAACATATATATAACTCACTCCATAAATGGCTATTTCATAATGTCTCTCGTTATTAAATAAGTGATTTTATCTTGAGTAGAACAGAATGGTCAAAATTCCATTACAATTTTATTATTCTCCATAAATAAATATAAACTCACTACACTCTCTACCTCCCATTGCCATACTTTTATATTTAGAAAAAACTATCTCGTAGCCTAAGTTGTGTTAATCAGGCACTTATTATACAAGGTTATACTTCTAAATAAAAGATTCACTTAAAATAGCTAACTCTGGTCATTTTAAGTCGGTTGGTAGAGTTATATTTTGTTATATGTCTGTTTCTATGGGAATCACCACTTATTCAGTGCACTCAAATATGGTGTGGATAAGCAGAATTTTGGGAAACGTAATTTTTAATCTCAGATGGCTGAACATTTGTCTCACATGAGTTATGTAACAGAGCAGAAATACAGAAAAGCAATCCATGGACTATAAACACAAGCACTCTACTCATTGCCAAAGGCTGAAAACAAGTGTATCTCTAGTGGAAGCACAAAAAGAATATATAATGAGGAAATTAATGAACACGGAAGATGGAAAACCTTTTTTTTTCCCTAAAATGTATGAGTTAGTGAGCTGATTTAATTCTTACCCTATTAAATAAAATCACCCCTTTTATTATTATTAATTCAGTAGGCTCTACCTTGGAGAAAGACAGACACATTTATTTAATAGTTTATAGGAACTCCATTTTTCTCTTTTGTGAGAGTAAAATGAGTATATTTTTACTGCTGCTCTTGGTCTCTGTATTAAAATTATATGTAAAACAGCTTAGAAATACCTTGATTTTGAATCCATGATTTATACACAGTGATATATTCTTAGATGCAGAAATGAGGGATTTCTAGATCATAACCTAACAGCATAATGATGCAATCTAAAATCTTCAAAGGGTAACTGAATTTTCAATTTGGAAAATGTTTTCAAATTCATGCAATTGAAGACGCTACATTTCAGCTCATCTGGTAACAAATACCTTCTCTCTTCCTCAAGCCTCAGATACCTTCTCTGTTCCTCAAGCATTTATTGAAGGTTTTCATAGGTATAAAGCTGTAACTGGTGCTTTAACAAAAATGTTTGCATGAAATAAATAGAAACCATGGTTTTTAATTTCAGGGAGCATGGAACTTACTTTTAAAGACAATAAAAACGACCAAAAATAATACTACTTGCTAAATACTATACTGTTTGAGGATGTTTTAAAGTAAAAATATTTATATAATTTGATAACCTCAACAATAATAACTCCCAAATTAAAAGAATCTTTCACTGACTTGAACATAAAACCTTCAATTATTTGTGTTTTTAAATAGTTGTTTTTCTCAAATGTATAAGATGTCTTATAGATCTTTTAATTTAACAAGTAAAAGAATGTAAAAACACAGCTGTTATCTCGATACATGCTAAAATATATTTGATAAAGTTTCATCTCTATTCCTAATTTTTTTATTAAATTGTTATGTTTCACATACTGAAACACAATTTTATCAAACCAATAGTTTATACTACACATAATGTTGGTATATTGGAGAAATTAGGAATAGACAAATATATTGCAATGGGTGTCACCATTATTTAAATATATTCCTTGGTTTTCGCTCGCACAATATTACATAAAAACAATATAAAGATAGTATCTATTGAAAGAGAAAAGTTTTTTTTCAGACAGTCTTGACAGACCATATATTTGCCTACCTAAAAAACACAAAGCAATAATTAATGAAAGGTATTAGAACTTATGAAAGATATTAGAATTAATAAAATCATTCCTTAAGCAAAATAAATTTACATAAATTAACACAGTTATGACTATTTGTCTCTTGCTGCACAACAAACTATTCCAAAATTTAGTGATTTAAAACAACATGTAATCTCACAATGTCTCTATATCAGAAATACAGGAAGTATTTAGGTAGGTGATTACTCCTCACGGTCTCTTAAGATGTTGCAGTCAAGCCATCAGCCTGGTTTACAGCCAAATCAAGACTACACACTCAAGTTGAAGTATACAGGAATAACCCAGATAATTATGAATTTACTTCCCGACCACTACAATAAAGCAGTATCAATTAAGCATATGATAATCTAAATACAGCAAGTCAAACAAATGTAGTTTACTGTCAACAGCATTACATCTAAAAAAAGTATATACCTTGAATATTAAATATCTTATTGTTAAAAATGTTAGCAATCATTGAAGTCTTCAGCCTGTCATAAGCTTTTTGCTCTTGGAAGATCGTGCCTTGATGTTTATGGCTTCTCACTTATCAGGATGGTGGTTGCTGAAGGTTGGGGTGGCTGTGGTAGTTTAACTCTTAAACTACGACAAATGTGAAAGTTTGGCATCTATTAACTCTTCCTTTCCCAAATGATTTATCTGTGGCATGTAATGCTGTTTGATACCATTTTACTCACAGTACAACTTCTTCTAAAATTGCAGTCAATTGTATCAAACTCTGCTGTTGATTTATCAACAAAGTTTACATATTATTCTAAGTAATTTGTTGTCATTTTAACAATATTCACAGCACCTTCAAGTGGAGTAGATTCTATCTGAACAAGTCACTTGCTTTGCTCATCCATAAGAAATCACTCCTCTTCTGTTAAAGTTATACATTCTGTATATTTGACTCACATGAGTCATGTAATGAATGTTCAGGCTCCACATCTAATGTGAGTTCTTTTGCTATTTCCACTATATCTGCAGTTCCTACCTCTAGTGAAGTTTGGAACCCTTCAAAGTCTATGACGGTTGGAATCAACTTCTTTTAATCTCCATTAATATTAATATTGTGACTTTCTCCTATGAATCATGAATGTTCTTATGGCATCTAGAATGGTGAATCCTTTTCAGAAGGTTTATCAAATTATATGGCTCAGATTTATTATAGGAATCTCTATCTATGGCAGTCTTGTGAAATGTATTTCTCAAATAATAAAACTTGAAAGTCAAAATTACCACTTGATCCATGGACTGCAGAGTGGGAGTTGTGTCAGCAGGTATAAAAGCAGCATTAATCACCTATACATCTTTATTAGAGCTGTCAGATAAACAGGTGCATTGCCAATGAGCAGTAATATTTTCAAGGTAAAGCAGTTCGATGTTATAGAGATGCTTATTTCCTTAAACCTCATGTACTAAACTCTGCTGACATCAAACTTTTCTTCTGCAGCTTCCTTACCTCTCTCAGCCTTCATAGAATTGAAGAGAGTTAGAACCTTTTTCTGAATTAAGCTCTGGCTTAAAGGAATGCTGTGGCTGGTTTGATCTTTTATTCAGACCACAAGAACTTTCTCCATATCAGAAATAAGGCAGTTTCACTTCCTTATCATTCATGAGTTCAATGAAGTAGCACTTTTAATTTCCTTAAAGAATCTATTATTTGTATTCACAACGTTGCACTCACTGTTTGGCACAAGAGGCCTGGATTTCAGCCTATCTAGGCTCTCAACATGCTTTCCTCACTAATCTTAATCATTTTTAACTTTTTATTGAAGTAAGACATGTGTGATTCTTCCTTTCACTTGAACACATAAAGGCCATTGTAGGGTTATTGATTGGTCTAATTGTAATATTATTTTGTCCCAAGGAATAGGGAGGAGAGGGGAGTAGACAGGAGACCCATAAGTTGGTAGAGCAGTCTGAACACACACAACATTTACCAATTAAGTTCACCATATTTTATGGGTGTGGATCGTGGTGCCCCAAAACAGTTACAATAGTAACACTAAAGATCCTTGATCATAGATCATCATAACAGATGCAATAATAATGAAAAATGGAAAATATTATAGAATTACCAAAATGTGACACAGAGACACAAAGTGAGCTCATGCTGTTGGAAAAATAATGTCAATAGACTGATTTAATGCAGGGTTGCCACAAACCTTCAATTTGTAAAAAATATAATATCTGTAAGGTACAATAAAGTGAAGTGCAAAAAGATAAGGTAGGTCCAATTTCCAAACTCAGAAGTGTGGTTCTTCATAGGTCTCAGTTCTTCTCTGGCTGATTTAGAGAGACACAGAGAGATGGAGAAGCAGACAGCTCAAGATAGGATTCACAGTCCAAATCCATCTCAGAAGTGATTGTATTAGTTTGCTCTCACACTGCTCATAAAGACATACCCGAGATTGGATAATTTATAGAGAAAACAGGCTTAATGAACTCACAGTTCCACATGACTGGGGAGGCCTCACAACCATGGGAGATGGCAAAGGACAAGCAAAGGCACATCTTACATGGTGGCATGCAAGAGAGCTTGTGCAGGGGACCTCCCAATTATAAAAGCATCAGATCTCATGAGACTTATTCACTGCCATGAGAACAGTGTGGGGGAAACTGCCCCCATGATTCAATTATCTCCACCTAACCCCACCCTTGACTTGTGGGTATTATTACAATTTGAGGTAAGATTTTGGTGGGGACACAGCCAAACCATATCAGTGACACACCAGAATGTTTGTCATATGTCATTGGACATACAGGTTAATTGTGGAACAATGTGGTAGAATGCTATGTACGTGTTAATAACAGGAGTTAGAGATCATTGCTATTTATCTTGGAGGCTATAGAGAAAGTAAAGAGCAAAGTTATAATCAAAAGAGTGTGGTATTGTCTTTAAAAAAAAGCATATAGATCAACAGACAAGAATAGAGGAACAGAAATAAACCCACACATAAACAGTCAATGGATCTTCGACAAGAGTGTCATGAATAAACAAGGAAAAAAGATTATTCAATAAATTATGTTAAGAAAAGTGGATATTCACATGCAAAATAATGAAATTGGACACTTATCTTAAACCATATCCAAAAATTAATTCAAAATGAACTAATAAATGTAATGCCTGAAACAGTAAAAGAAAACATGGGAAAAACATAGGGCAAAAGCTTCTTGACATTGGTTTTGACAGTTACTTCTTAGATATGACACCCAAAGCACAGGCTGTGATGCAAAATTAGACACATGAGGACATATTAGACTAAATATTTCCTGTACATCAATGGAAACAACTAAAAAAATAAAATGGCAATCAATGGAATGGGAGAAGATATTGGAAAACTGTATATCTGATAGAGGGTTAATATCCAAAATATATAAGCAACTCCTGCAATAGCCAAAACAAAACAAAACTGATTTAAAAATGAGCAAAATATTCTAACAGACATTTTTTTAAAGAAGACTGACAGAAGGCCAATTTATACAAAAAGGTGATTGACATCACTAGCTATCAGAGAAATTCAAATCAAAAACATGAGGCTGGGTGGGGTGGCTCACGCTTGTAATCCCAGCACTTTGAGAGGCCGAGGCGGGCAGATCACAAGTTCAGGAAATCAAGACCTTCCTGGCTAACATGGTGAAACCCTGTCTCTACTAAAAATACAAAAAATTAGCCGGGTGTGGTGGCGGGTGCCTGTAGTCCCAGCTACTCAGGAGGCTGAGGCAGAAGAACGGCGTGAACAAGGGAGGCGGAGCTTGCAGTGAGCTGAGATGGTGCCACTGCACTCCAGCCTGGGCGAACAAAAAAAACATAATGAGCTATCACCACAATGAGATTTAACAGTGGAGATGTCAGGGAAATTCAAATCAAAAACACAATGAGCTATAACCACAATGAGATTTAATAGGTGAAATGCCTATTATAAAAAAGATGAAAGATGACAAGTGTTGGAGAGGATATGGAGAAAAGAGAATCCTGTATACTATTCAGTAGAATGTGAATTGATATAGACATGGTGAAAAGAGTATGAAGCATCCTCAAAAATTTCAAAATAGAACTACCATATGATCCACAAATCCACTTTAGTGTATATATTTAAAAAAAAATTGAAATCAGGCCAGGCATAGTTACTCACATTTGTAATCCTGGGACTTTGGGAGGCTGAGGTGGGAGGATTGCTTCAGCCCAGGAGTTTGAGATCAGCCCTGGCAACATAGTGAAATCCCTTCTCTACAAACAAATTAAAAATTAGCTGGGTGTGGTGGCAAACAGTTGTGGTTCCAGCTACTAGGGAAGCTGAGATGAGAGGATTGCTTGAACCTGGGAGGTCAAAGTGATAGTGAGCCATGGTTGTGCCAACATACTCCAGCCTGGGCAACACAGTAAAACGCTGTTTCAAAAAAATAAAGGGAAAATCAGGAACTCAAAGAGATACCTGCACTAACAAGTTCATTCCGACATTATTTACAATAGCCAAGATATGAAAGCAACATAAAATAAATATACATCAATGGATGAATAGATAAATGTGGCATATACGGCAATATAATATTATTCAGCCCTATAAAAGGAGGACAATTTCACCATTTGTGGCAACATAAATGAATCTGGAAGATATTATTCTAAAGTTAAGTAAGCCAGACACAGAAGGACAAATGCTACATGATCCTACTTACAAGAGGAATGTAAAGTAATTCAACTCATAGAATTAGAGAATAGAATGGTGAATGTCAAGGCTGAACAGAAGGAACAATGGGAAGGTATTAGCCAAAGGTTGCAAGGTTTCAGTTATGCAACAAGAATAGATCCTAGAAATCTACTGAGCAGCCTTGTGCCTGTGGCTAATTATACTGTCTTGTATACTTACAAATTTAAAACAGTGTATCTTAAGTTGTAAAAAGGTAAGAAGAAATTACTAACACCATTATTTTCTCTTCATTCTACAACATGACATCTTTATTCTCCTGGATAAGTTGGTTTACTTTCTCCCAATAGTAGCAGGTCTTCCCTTGTTTTAATCAATGAATTGTCCTAATGAAGAGCATACTTTAGCTGTGTCCATATACAGGCTGTCAATTAATGTTGCTTTCTGTCTCCTTTGAAGACGTTTCTATTATTATTAATATTAATGGGTTAATGGGTACAAAAGATATAATGATCAGTAGACAAAAGATAGAATAGTACTAATTAAAAGCATATGAAAATGTTCAACCTCACTAGTAATATAAAATTTAAATGAAATTGAAAAACCACATTTGCACTCAACTAAGCAACTAAAATAAAAGATTATAATCCATGGTACATGTGTGTGCATATGTATATATGTATGATGTATTTATTATATTCTATATCTGTATATCTAATACAGCAGCCACTAGTTATATATGGTTATTTAATTTTAAATTTAAATTAATTCAAATTTAAACATTCATTTCTTCAGCTGCACTAGCCACATTTAAAGGGCTAAAAAGCCACATGTGATTAGTCACTACCATATTGAATGTCACAGAAATATAGAACATTTCATTCATCATAGAAAGAAAATTTATAATATACAGCACATTTGTGCAGGACGAAGAGAAAGAGTTTCCAAAAACCAAATTACATAAGAGTTTTTAAAACTTCTTTTTGGTTAAATGTAGTGTAAAGAAAAAGAAACTTTTAATAAAAGCAGGCTGTGCTTACATTTTAATAAACTAGAGCTCAGATATGAAAGAGTTCCTGGTCATACAAATAAAAAGAAACCTAATCTTTATAGGCAGGTCTTTGGTTTAAGCAGAAAATAAACACTTCTTTGACAATATTTCTGAATATCAAAAGGTAAACTTAAATTTAATTGCATAAAGAATATTATATAAAGTAAACATTCACATAATAAAGATAAACTTTTTATTTGTCCTTTTACAGTTTCTAGATAATTTATACACATGAAATATAAAACTTATGTTCAAAATGTTGGACCAAGATGCTATTATGAAACATTTCATTTGATCAACTTCATTTTTCTATAGCATCATTTAATTTAATGAAGTGCCCATTTGGTGATAAAAAGAAATTGTAAGCTTTCCTGATAGAATAACACATTATCAATGCACCCTTATGTCAAAACCAACCTTATATTTTGTCAAGGTTGGTGTCTCACAGTTACTTCAATCCTATTTAAAATGTAATAATATACAACAATCTTACTTGTTACCATGTGAGATAAATTGAATACTTTCCATTTCAATTTCTTTGAAACTGTTTAAAAGCAAAACCAAAACAAACAGTTCTGCTACTTTTAAAGGAGGAATATGCCTGATAGTTTTTAGACTAATACTGTGAAGAATCAAACAGTACTTTTCTTTCCTGAACCAGATTGCATTTTATAGATCCACATGCTCTTCAACTACATTTGGATGTATTTATATATGAAGAAAAACACCTACACCCTTCCTTTATGCCTATATGTGAAGCTTTGAGTAATATTGATGAAGGAGAAACAACATGGCCAGGGTAAAAGAGGTAGAATAAGCTTTCCACTGATTACCTATGCCTCTCAAGGTGGCAGGAAACCTGTGCTCTTTTGCATTACTGAAATCTCACAAACTAGCCCAAAGCTCAGAGTGTGGTGAATCACCAAAACTATTTAAAAAACGATGTTGAGTTAGGTCATGTCATCTTGAGCAAAATGATCTGTATGAGTCTCATTTTGCCATTTCTATCAAAAAAAGAGATACTAATACTCACTTGTTTGGAAAATAAAATGTTGATTGGCACACATAATGGCTTTCAAATAGCTGGTACTTGATAAATTGAATTATCTGTGTTTTTATTTGAAATATTATTTCTAATTATCAAAAAATATTTTTTGCAAAAACAAATACTAGGCATCAGCAAACTGGAGGTAATGACAATTATTGGAAAAAAGAGTCTTTCATATTGAAATTACATTAGATATGTAGATAAGTGGGGACAATGCTAGGTTGCTGGCCCTGTCACCATATGCCTTCTCTTCTCTGTTGATGAAAAAAGTCAAACTCTGTAAAATATTTGAAGAGATTCGTGCTGAGCAAAATGTGGGAACTATGACCCATGAAACAGCCTCAGGAGGTCCTGAGAACATGTGTCCACAGTAGTTAGGTTACAGCTTGGTTTTATGTTTTAGGGAGACATAAGACAGTGCATGTGAGTTATATATTAGTTTGGTCCAGAAAGGCTGGACAACTTGAAGCCAGGGGGCTTCCAGGTCATAGGCAAATTCAAAGATTTCCTGATTGGTAATTGAGTGAAAGAGTTATTATCTAAACACCTGAAAATAATAGAATGGAGTGTCTGAATTAAGATAAGCATTGTGAACATCAAGGATCTTATTATGTAGATGAAGTCTCACAAGTGGCCACCATTAGAAGCACTCAAGGGCAAATATTTCCTATGCAAACCATTAAAAGATTCCAGAATCTAGAATAACCAGTAAGTAAAAAAAAATCTCAGCAAAATGCAAAACATTTCCTGTAAAAGAGACAGCTGTGCAGGGTAATTCTAAAATATGTCAGAGTGAATTCAGCACCTTCAACTAAAGTATCCAGGTTCTTGCATTGGGAATAAATAAGCAAGCAGCTTGACCCATGGGGATCAAGGAGAAGCAGCGGTGGGGCGATCATGGTCCACCCAGGATTGGCGTGGAACCAAGGGAACACCCACCCACAGCCAGGGGAGGTGGTGAGTGATTGTGTGACCCTGCCTGGGAAGCCAACCACACTTCTCCCATGGATCTCTGCAACCCGAGGATCACGAGATCCCCTTGTGAGCTCACACATCCAGGACTTTGGTTCTGATACATGGAGCTGTGTGGAATCCCAGCAGGGCAGCCACCCAGGCATGCAGAGACCAAAGAGTTTTACATATTCTGGCCCCCAGATCACTGCCAAGGCAGAAAATCCATTTGTATATATTCCTAGGAAGGGGACTGAATTTAGGGAACCAAGAAGCATCATTCTGTGGGCCCCATTTCCATGACACCTCATGGGTAGGAACCCACTGGCTTGGAATCTCAGCCAGACAGTGAGAGCAGGCTGAAGTCCACCTGAGATGGGACCAAGTTCCTTGGGGGAAGAGTGGCCGCCATCTCTGTGGTTCAGGGGACTCAGCTGTGCCAGCCTGCTGACTGTGCAGAGTGCAGATGGTCCACACCAGGAGGGGGCACCACAGCAGCACAGCTGCCTTGCTAGATCATGGCCAGACTGTTTCTTTAACCAGGGCCCCAAACCACTCCTCCTCACTGCCGGGGACCTTTGTTCTGGGACAAAGCTCTGATCTCTCCCTGGGAGGGAGCTCCTGAAGGGAGGGCAGCCACCATCTCTGACAGTCCATAGACTTAGCCATTCCAGCCTGCCAGCTGTGGAGACTATAGACAGATGGGAAAAAAGGGTCCCTCCCAGTGCAACATGCCTGCTCTACCAAGAAGCAGCCAGGTTGCTGCTTTGGGTCGGTCCCTGATCCCATCCCTTCTGAGTAGGTGAGATCTCCCAGCTGGGGTTCCAGCCACCTCCTGCAGGTGCCTGTGGGCGGGTGGCAGGTTGGTGCCCCCCAGGATGGATATTCCAGAGTTGGGGAGCTGGCTGCCCTCTTTGTCATTTTGTGGACTTCAGTGGTAATACCACCAGGTGCAAGAGAAGCCAAGGTGAATGGGGAATGGAGCAGACTCCAGCAAACCACAGCAGCCCTACAGTAGAATGGTCTGACTGTTAAAAGAAAAACAAACAGAAAACAACAACTACGACAAAAGACTCCCCAAAAACGCCACTCTAATTTCAGAAACCTCAAAGATCAAAAGTAGATAAGCCCACAAAGATGAGAACGAATCAACGCAAAAACTCTGAAAACTCAAAAAGCCAGAATGTTTCTTATCCTCCAAATGACCAAAACACCTCTCCAATAAGGGCACAGAACTGGGCTGAGGCAGAGACGGCTGAATTGATAGAAATAGACTTCAAAAGGTGGGTAATAATGAGCTTCACTGAGCTAAGTGAGAATGTTGTAACCCAGTGCAAAGAAGCTAAGAATCATGATAAAACAATAGAGGAGCTGAAAGCCAGAATAGTGAGTTTAGAGAAGAATATAACCAACCTGATGAAGTTGAAAAACACAACATGAGAAATGCACAATGAAATCACAAGTATTAATAGCATAATAGACCAAGTGAAGGAAATAATCTCAGAGCTTGAAGACTATCTTTGTGAAATAAGACAGGCAGACAAGAATAGAGAAAAAGAATGAAAAGGAATGAATAAAACCTGCAAGAATTATGGGATTATGTAAAGAGACTGAACCTATGACAGATTGGAATATCTGAAACAAATGGGGACAAAGGAACCAAGACGGGAAACATACTTCAGGATATCATCCAGGAGAACTTTCCCAACCTAGCAAGATGGGCCAACATTCAAATTCAGAAAATCCAGAGAACCCCGGTAAGATACTCTATGAGAAGATCAACTCCAAGACATACATAATCATCAGATTCTCCAATATCAAAACGAGAAAAAAAATGTTAAAGGCAGCCAGAGAGAAAGGCCAGGTCATCTACAAAGGGAAACCCATCAGACTAACAGTGGACTTCTCAGCAAAAATTCTACAAGCCAGAAGAGATTGGGGGCCAATATTGAACATTCTTAAAGAAAATAACTTTTAACTCAGAATTTCATATCTGGCCAAACTAAGCTTCATAAGTGAAGGAGAAATAAGATCCTTTTCAGACAAGCAAATGCTGAAGGAATTTGTCACCACCAGACCTGCCTGTCTTGCAAGAGCTCCTGAAGGAAGAATTAAATATGGAAAAGAAAAACTGTTACCAGCCTCTACAAAAACACATAGTGTCTCCCACTATTACTGTGTAGGAGTCTAAGTCCCTACCTAATGTAGATGGCGGGTTGATGGGTGCAGCAAACCACTATGGCACATGTATACCTGTGTAACAAACCTGCACGTTCTGCTCATGTATCCCAGAACTTAAAGTATAACAAAAAATAATAATAAAATAGAACTCAAGATTAAGAAATTCACTCAAAACCACACAACTACATGTAAATTGGACAACCTGCTCCTGAATGACTCTTGGGAAAATAATGAAATTAAGGCAGAAATTAAGAAGTTCTTTGAAACTAATGAGAACACAGAGACAATGTATCAGAAACTCTGGGATGCAGCTAAAGCAGTGTTAAGAAGGAAATTTATAGCACTAAATGCTCACAACAAAAAGCTAGAAAGATCTCAAGTGAACATCTCAACTAAAATAGAGAAGCAAGAACAATCAAACTCCGAACCTAGCAGAAGACAAGAAATAACCAAGATCAGAGCCAAACTGAAGGAAATAGAGACCTGAAAAACCCTTCAAAAAATCAATGAATCCAGAAGCAAATTTTTTGAAAAAAAAATAGTAAAATAGATAGACAGCTAGCTACACTAATGAAGAAAAAAAGAGAGAAGAATCAAACACCATCAGAAATAATAAGAATATTACCACTGACCCCATAGAAATATAAACGGCCATCAGATAATACTGTAAACACCTCTATGCATATAAACTAGAAAATCTAGAATAACTGGATAAACTCCTGAACACACACAGTCTCCCAAGATTGAACCAGATAGAAATTGTTTCTCTGAATAGACTAATAATGTGTTCTGAAATTGAGGCAGTAATAAATAGCCTACCAACCAAAAAAAAGCCCTGGACTAGACGGATTCATAGCAGAATTCTATCAGAGGTACAAAGAAGGGCTGTACCATTTCTACTGAAACAATTTCAATAAATTGAAGAGGAGAGATTGCCTGCTTACTCATTCTATGAAGCCAGCATCATTCTGATACCAAAATCTGGCAGAGACACAAAAAAACAACAAGAAAAAAACTTCAGGCCAATATTCTTGATGAACATCGATGCAAAAATCCTCAATAAAATACTGGCAAACTGAATCCAGCAGCATATCAAAAAGCTTATTCACCACAATCAAGTTGGCTTTATCCCTGGGATGCAAGGTTGGTTCAACTTAAGCAAATCAATAAATGTGATTCATCACATAAACAGAACTAAAGACAAAATCACATTATTATTTCAATAGACAGAGAAAAGGTTTTTGATAAAATTTGGCATCCCTTTATATTTAAAACTCTCAATAAAGTAGATATTGAAGGAACATACCTCAAAATAACAAGAGCTGTATATGACAAACCCACAGCCAGTATCATAATGAATGAGCAAAAGCTGGAAGCATTCCCACTGAAAAGCAGCACAAGACAAGGATGCCCTCTCTCACCACTCTTATTCAACATAGTATTGGAAGTTCTGACTAAGGCAATCAGGCAAGAGAAAAAGGTAAAGGGTATCCAAATAGGAAGTGAGGAAGTAAAATTATCTTTGTTTGCAGATGACATGATTCTATATCTAGTAAACCCCATTGTCTTGGCCCCAAAGATTCTTACGCTGATATGCAATTTTGTTAGTCTCAGAATATAAAATCAATATGCAAAAAATTGCTAGCATTCCTATACGCCAACAAGCATGCCAAGAGCCAAATCATGAATGAACTTCCATTCACAATTGCTATAAAAGAACAAAATACCAAAGAATACAACTAACAAGATAAGTGAAGAACCTCTTTAAGGAGGACTACAAACCACTGCTCAAAGCAATCAGAGAGGATACAAACAAATGGAAAAATATTCCATGCTCATGAATAAAAAGCAACAGTATCATGAAAATGGCCATACAGCACAAAGTAATTTATAGATTCGATGCTGTTCCCAATAAACTACCACAGACTTTATTCAGTTAATTATAAAAAAACTATTTTAAAATTCATGTGGAACCAAAATAGAACATGAATAGACAACACAATCCTAAGCAAAAAAACAAAGTTGGAGGCATCATGCTACCTGACTTCAAATTATACTACAAGGATACAGTAACCAAAACAGCATGGTACTGGTACAAGGACAGTCACGTAGACCAATGGAGCAGAATAGAGAACTCAGAAATGAGACTGCACACCAACAACTATCTGATCTTTGACAAAGGTGACAAAAACAAGCAATGGGGAAAGGATTCCCTATTTAATAAATTGTGCTGGGAGAACTGGCCAGCTAGATGCAAGAAATTGAAACTGGATTTCTTCCTTATCCCATACTCAAAAAACTAACTCAAGATGGATTAAAGACTTAAGTGTAAAACCCAAAACTGTAAAAACCCTAGAAATAGATCTAGACAATACCATTCAGGACATAGGCACAGGCAAAGATTTTCTGATTGAAATGCCAAAAGCAATCGCAACAAAAGCCCAAATTGACAAATGGGATCTAATTAAACTAAAGAGCTTCTGCACAGCAAAAGAAACTATCATCAGAGTGAACAGATAACCTACAGAATGGGAGAAAATTTTTGCAGTCCATCCGACAAAGGTCTAATATCCAGATTCTACAAGGAACTTAAACTTACAAGAAAAAAATAGCCCTGTTAAAAAGTAGTGAAAGGATATGAACAGATAATTCTAAAAAGAAGACAGGCTGGGTGTGGTGGCTCATGCCTGTAATCCCAACACTTTGGGAGGCTGAGGCAGGAAGATCATGAGGTCAAGAGATCAAGACCATCCTGGCCAACATGGTGAAACCCCATCTCTACTAAAAATACAAAACTTAGCTGGGCATGGTGGTGCACACCTGTAGTCCCAGCCTACTGGGGAGGCTGAGGCAGGAGAATCGCTTGAACTTGGGAGGCGGAGGTTGCAGCGAACCGAGATTGTGCCACCACAATCCAGCCTGGTGACACAGCAAGACTCCATCTCAAAAAAGAAAAACAAAAACAAAAACAAAAAACAAAAAACAAAAAAAAGAAGAAATACATGTGGCCAACAAACATATGAAAAAAAATCTCAACATCACTGATCATTAGAGAAATGCAAATCAAAACCATAATGAGATGCCATCTCACACCAGTCAGAATGGTTATTATTTAAAAGCCAAAAAACAGATGCTGGAGGGGTTGTGTAGAAAATGGGACACTTTTACACTGTTGGTAGGAGTATAAATTAGTTCAACCATTGTGGAAGACAGTGGTAATTCCTCAAAGACCTAGAGGCAGAAATACCATTTGACCCAGCAATCTCATTACTAGGTATATACCCAAAGAAATATAAATCATTCTATTATAAAGACACATGTACATGTATGTTCAATGCAGCCCTATTTACAATAGCAAAGTCATGGAATCAGTCTAAATGCTCATCAGTGATAGACTGGATAAAGAAAATGTGGTACATATACAACATGGAATATTATGAATCCATAAAAAGGAATGAGATCATGTTCTTTGCAATTTTCAGGGACATGGACAGGGCTGGAAACCATTATTCTCAGCAAACTAATTCAGGAACAGAAAAAACAAGCACTGCGTGCCCTCACTTATAAGTGAGCTGAATGATGAGAACACATGGACACACGGGAGGGAAGAACACACACTGGGCACCTGTGTGTCTGTTGAGGGAGCATTGCGAAGAATAGCTAATGAATGCTGGGCTTAATACTGGGTGATGGGTTAATCTGTGCAGTAAACCACCATGGCGCACGTTTACCTATGTAACAAATGTGCACATCCTGCACATGTACCCATGAACTTAAAATAAAAGATCCAAATAAAAAAGGACAAAAAAATAAACTATTTCAAATAAATATATTTTGAGGTAAATACTTTTATATCCTTCAGGACCTGCTATCATGTGATGCTCTACTAGAGTTATGATGGAATTTAGTATCTTATTGCTACAAAGAATCTGTCTGTCAGTCTTAAGATCTTTGTTTTTATGTTAATTCTGGTCAGTTGTGCCTGAATTCCAAAGGAAGGGAGTATGAGGAAACATGTCCAACTCCCACTTCTCACCATGGCCTGAATGAGTTTTCAGATTTCTTTGGAATGCCTTTGGCCAAGAAGAGAAGTCCATGCAGTCAGCTGGGTCTTAGAATTCTAATTTTGGTTTACATCTCTCATAGAAAACAAGAACTCCTTAGTAAATCTGAAGAGAATTTGAGAAATCCCATTTTTTCATAAAGAAAGAAACTAAAGATTGATAGGTTCTAAGGTCTTCTGGTTCTTCAGACTTGGGCTCTGACTCCTGTTCCACAAGTTACAATGTGTTATTTTGACACAATTATTTCTAAGTTTTACTTTTTAAAATATCTCAAAATGAGGAAAACATTTCTAGTTATTTTAGAAGACTATTGTGAGAAGTAAAGGAAATTATACATTATATTTATCTGGTGACTTGCTCATATCAAGTAATCAGTTAATTATTATAATGATGATTATTTCACATTAACAATTTCCATACAAAATCTTAACCTTGAAAAAGGCCTATGGTTTGAGATCAGCAAAGTTATTTTCAGGATATATTCAAAGGACTTTGTTTTAAACTTTGCCCTTTATAATAACAGCCTGGGCCACGTTTTTCAAGAGTTACTATTCAAAACTGCTTTACTATCATTACTTCTTACATTAACACATTTTGGTGTCCAATCTAGTTTTGTACCATAGCCCCAAGATGTCTCAAATATGCATGGAATATATGTACTTTTCAACCTTACATTGCAAATTAATTGTTGAAACATGTAAATCATGCTTTCAAGCTTAAGAGCTTTATTTACTCTGCTATAAATAATCCTCAGAACTGTGTTTTGCATTTAGCTATTGTTAGGCTTTGAGTAGTCTTAGACTTCCTTCTGTAAATAAAAAACAAGGTTTCTTCAAGTCAGTGACCTTTAACAATAAAAAGTCACTTTTACTATGGTAGGAAATTACTAAAGAAAAATATGCCATACCAGGTAGTTGAGAAGATAAACAACTATAGTGTTCTTGGAAATAAAGTTCCTTTGTGTCAATCTATATAACACTTCCCAACAGATTTAAATAACATGCAGTCCTTATGTAAAAACAGAAGTAGGCATAATATATTTTTTCAGT
Organism: Homo sapiens; assembly: GCF_000001405.40. Lineage (NCBI taxonomy): Eukaryota > Metazoa > Chordata > Mammalia > Primates > Hominidae > Homo > Homo sapiens. Next base: position 100,028 of record NW_021159994.1, read on the forward strand.
TTCCTTCCAAATCAAGAATTTTTGCCTATCATAAAATGCATAGTTAATTTTAATTGCAAATTATGAATTAAATATCAACCATGGGTTTCAGAAAAGTCTAATTGATAAGAATATCAGCTTTGGAATAATTTCTGGAGATGCCAGTCCTGTAATTCCTGGCAAGGTGTTCTATAATTTGAACTGTAACTTTACTCCCCTGTAAAATATGAAAAATAGCAACTAATTCAAGTAATTGTGGGATTAAATGAGGTAATACATGCACAATGTTTAGCACATAAATTGAATAAATTACTGAATAATTCTCACCTCTACCTAAAATTATCATTATTTATTATCATTATCTTTTTTTATTAGCTAAGTATTGGTCTGGTGCCAAAGATAAAACGTATTAGGTAGACTACTGTCCAAACCAAATATTTCTTTATTAATTCAATCTTTACCTACTCATAAAGTTTCCCTTTCCTCATTTTTATGACATTCTGCCTTGAATTTTGTGTGGTTCCTTATGTGTCCACCTCTGTCCTGGAGATAGTAAGATTCTTGAGGTTCATATTATCCTCAAAGAACTTTTTACTTTTTTTTTTTTTTTTTTTTCAGAGAAAGGGTCTCACTGTGTCACTCTAGCTGAAGTGCAGTGACACAATCATAGCTCACTGAAGCCTTGAACTCCTGGGCTCAAGTGATCCTCCCAACTAGTTAGGACTATAGGCACATGCCATTATGCCTGGCTAATTAAAAAAATATATTGTAGAGATTGGGGTCTCTCTATGCTGCCGAGGATGGTTTCAAACTCCTGGCCTCAAGCAATTCTTCTACCTCAGCCTCTCAAAGCACTGGGATTACAGGCATGAACCACAGCACTGGCCTCTATTCTCTAAGAACTTTACCCATACAGTGCTCCTTCCCCTCTAGTAGGTCTAGCACAGCACCCTGTATATGCCATGGGCACAAACACATTTAGAAAGGAGAGTTAAAGAGGGCATGGAAACAAAAGGAGTGGAATGAAATAACATGAAATGAAAAGATGAAATGAAAACAGACTAAATAAGGAAGTTCTCTGCTATAGAAAGAAAAAGATTCTAGTTCCTTCTCCTTCTCTCTTTTCCTTCCTTCCTTCCTCCTTCTTTCTTTTCTTTCCTTCTTTCTTTCTTTCTTTTTCTTTCTTTCTCTTCCTTTCTCTCTTTTCTTTCTTTATTTCTTTCTTTCCTTTCTTTCTCCCCTTCCTTCCTTCCTTCCTTTCTTTTTCTTTCTTTCTTCCTTCCTTCCTTCCTTCCTTCCTTCCTTCCTTCCTTTCTTTCTTTCTTTCTTTCTTTTTCTTTCTTTCTTTCTTTTTCTTTCTTTCTTTCTTTTCTTTCTTTCTTTCTTTTCTTTTCCTTTCCTTTCTTTTCTTCCTTTTTCTTTTCTTTTCTTCCTTTTTCTTTTCTTTCAGAATTCTTGAAGTAATTCTTTCAGAAGTTCTCCTAAGATTAGAAGTACTTTTGACCTACACATCTCAAAAAAATTGATCTCTTTAAATAGCTCTGATTAGGAAGGAAAAATGTTTTCATCTGAACATAAGTTTATAGTCATCATGCTTCAAAAATACAACATGAACTAAAGCTGGAAATGTGATTTGATTATTAGGATATGCCCTGGTGAAATGATTATGTCACGTAACAGCTGGACTTAAAAAAATTTATACTTTTGAGTTACTTTGATTTATTTTTATTGTTATTTTTTATTAATTGCATGATTAACAATTGCACGGCTGTAGATGGGTGTTACTTATCCAAAAGGCAATTTCCCCTTCCCCCTTGTTAATTGCCCCTTGATTTTTCTGTGTGTTCATAATTGTTTACATTCCTCAGAAAAAAACATTGTCCCCAGACCCAGCCATTAAAAGTGAATCTTAATTAAACTAAAACAATAATAATAATTTGAATCTCCCTTTCCAATAATTAAACTTGATAGCTAATGCAATGCAATTATGACCCATGAGGCATTGGATAAATTTTTTGTGCTTCTAGGAAATGTATTTTAGTTATTAATGAGCTTTTTGACACAAAAAGAAAGAGTGTTTCTTTTTTTGGCCTCCGAACAATAGTGCACGTGGTTGTAATCCTTGGAGTTACTGCAGCAATCTGGAAGCCAAGAGGTGAACTAATAGACCTGCTGAGGTTGGGAGGATAAAAAGATGGAAAGAATATGAGCTCCTAGTGACATTATTTGGATATAAATTCACCAGCATAACTTTTTATTATGTGAGATAATAAATACCATTATCAGCTAGCTATCTTGACTCTGGAGTTTTTGGTTACTTGTAAAAAAAAATACCAAATATAATAGATCATATTTGTGGAGAAAACTAAAAGATGTTTTAGCTAATAGATGCTGGTCTACAGAATTTAAAAGTAGCAAATTATCAGTGAAAATATTTCTAAATTTAAATGTCATTCCCCAAGTGAATTAGATTGTTTTCTTCTCCATTTCCTTGAATCATTTTCCATCCTACCCTTTCTTATTTTCTTCCATGCTTTTATAAAAATCTTCTAGAACTCCCTGAATATAAATCTTTTATAAAGTGAGCAATTTATAACTGGAGAAAATAAATTGTGCTTTGTTCACTGTTTAATACAACTTTCAAAACACATTCCAAAGCATTTTCTGGGAATAATTAGCTCTAAGAAATTATATTTTGATTCTTTTAAAATTTGCATTAAAGAAATATTCTATCTGTAACTGCTGCATGAAAGTAACAGCTCATTAAAGATAATTCTAGAAGTATTTTCAAAAAATTCTATTAAACATAAGTGAAGCATCTTTTTAATATCATTATTATATCCAAGGGTAAAGCATTGTCAGAGAGTTGTTGTAAAGAAATGACAAGAAATGTAATTATGTTTTAATTTACACTTAGAGTACCATAACAGCCATATATATGAAAATACATTAAAACAACTGGCCCACAAATATAACGTAAGGCCAGTGCAGTGGCTCACGCCTGTAATCCCAGCACTTTGGGAGGCTGAGGCAGGAGGATAACAAGGTCAGGGGTTCGAGACCATCCTGGACAACATAGTGAACCCCCGTCTCTACTAAAAATACAAAAATTAGCCAGGCACAGTGGTGCGTGCCTGTAGTCCCAGCTACTTGGGAGGCTGAGGCAGGAGAATTGCTTGAACTCGGGAGGCCGAGGTCGTGGTGAGCTGAGATCGCACCACTGAACTCCAGCCTGGGCAACAGAGCGAGACTCCACCTCAAAAAAAAAATAATAATAATAAATAAATAAATAAATAATAAATAAAATAAAAAACACACCAAAAAAAACCCATAATATTCAAAGCTAAGAAAAAAAATATAAAAAGAAATGTACTTGAGGAATGCACTTGGACTCTCATCTTATCCAAATGAGATAAATGCTTAGATCTCATTGTGTTTGAAAAGACATACAAAATCAATTTCCTTAGTGATAAAAATAAATGTATTCCTAATCTACAAGTAATTGACATTCAGTGGTTAGAATTTAATTGCAATGCTTATTTAAGTAACCAATTTTAATGAAGGCAAAGGGTCATTTTTAGTAATCTTGAATTAAAAGAATAAATAAGACAGTAAATTAATGCTTTGAGTTTTCACACTTTTTGAAAGGGAATGACCTCATCTCATTTTGCTGGTTTGAATAGAGATGTAAAGGCGGACTGACACTAAATTTAAATGTTTCTTATAAATGTGAGCATTTACTCTAAGTATTCAATTTTCAAAGATTATACTCGGAAATAATATTTTAGAAGCAAAATATAAGTGTCTTTTTAAATCTTGACTATAAATTAACTCATTGTATTTTATAAGAAATATTCTCTGATGACTGAATGTTGCCCCATGCACCATCGAAATTTATTTTAAAGATCTTTCAAAATTGAAACATGCACTTTTGGTTTTTTTTGTGGGTTTTTTTTTTGGTGTCTTATGAGTTAAACTACAAATAGGCTCACTTGAATTTTGTGTGAAAAATAAAAATTTCAAAATTTTAATAGCAATATGGCCATGTGGGTTATAATAGTATACTTATTAGATACACCAAGTTATGTCTATACTTACAATATGAAGCAGATCACTACAATGGCAAAATAATTTCAGTATTGCTCTTTTTTAGTGGCTACTGTAGGCTTTCCCTTAGTTATGCATATAAGATAAAACTATGTAAAGTTTTAATATAGCCTTTAGATATATGATATTTAATGAAAACAAAAAGCAAAAAAATCTTAAGGTAGGTAAGGCCAAAAATGTAAACATATTTTCTATATGACTGGTTGAAGAGCTATATTTCCCTGTTAACTGCCCATTGTGTCTCAAATTTTTATTTTTAAACCTAAAACCATCTGACTTCAAGGCCACATTTTTGCATGGTTCAGAAGGGAAATTGTCTCTCTTTTTCTCTCTCTCATTCTGTCTTTATAGTGACTTAAAAAAGATCTTTAAAAACTATAGAGCTTGGAGATAAACTGCTTCCAGATGGGGTAAAACTTAGAGGTTGATCATGCTCTTCTATTACATTGATGTGGTAACAGAAACTTAGCTAAATAGCAGTGTCTTTGATAGCCATCTGTTAGACCTCCTTGATATAAGAGAATACTCATTTACACTTGTGTTGGAACACACTTAGATATTATATTCTAAGATAATAATATATTCTAAGATTCATTAATATTAGCTCAAGTGGGACTCAGCCCATGGAAAACTCCCTCTATTCCAAAATATTACAGGATGAAGTTAGAAACATCTGCAAACTTTGTGACTGTTCTTCCTTGAATCTTTATTGGGGATCCAACGGGAAGGTAAATTTGGTCACATGATACTCTTTGGAACTGTTAAATGGTTGTACTATTCCTTGGAAAGCAGGCAGTAGCATATACTGAACAGAAGTAGAGCAGGTAATTGTCTAAATTTTGTGTGTTTTAAGAGTTGATGAGTTGACTGACAATACAGTCATCTGGAAGCTACTATGAAGTTTAAAATTATCTGTTTGACAATATTAACAATATTGTTTTTTAAGAATTTCCAACATATATTTTGTGAGTGGAAGAGAGCAGTTAATGCCTCAGCAAAATGAAGTTGTCTGATTAGCAAGCTTCAGAATAAAAGACTCCTTAGTACTTATTTATTGCATATAATAATATAATACATTATCATGCCATCTTCTAAAAATATCTTAAGCTACTTTAATCTCAGATATAGTCATAGCATTTTAAGCAGTGGCATAGGCATGGTCACATAGATAGAAAGTCAACCAAGTTTAAATTAGTTCTAGCTCTTCTCTTCCTAAGCTTTCTTCTTCATACCTTACTGCTCAGGATCAAAAGAAAATTTCTGAATACAGAATGATAGAAGCAGAGGGGATGCTTGCAAAGAGACTGTAATGGGAGACTTAAACTTCTGTGTCAGTGAAAAGACTTTGGTGTACTTTGGTGATGAATATTTCATGGAATAAGAGTGCCCTGAAACACCATTTGGGATGGAACAATAACAAATATTTGCTTCTTCACAGTTTGGTTAAACATAGGTTTGCCAGGTAAAATACAGGAAGTTCAGTTGAATGTGGGTTTCAGATTGTATTAGTCCATTCTCACACTGCTATAAAGAGCTACACGAGACTGGGTAATTTATAAAGGAAAGAGATTTAATTCACTCACAGTTCTGCATGACTGAGGAGTCCTCAGGAAACTTACAATCATGGTGGAAGGGGAAGCAAACATGTCCTTCACATGACAGCAGGAGCAGGAGAGAGAAGTGCTGAGCAAAGGGGGAAAAGCCCCTTATAAAACCAACAGATCTCATGAGAACTCACTCAATATCGCAACAACATCAGCATGGGGGTAACTGCTCCCATGATTTAATTACCTTCCACAGGCCCCTCCTATGACATGTGGGGGTTATAGGAACTACAAATAAAGATGAGATTTGGGTAGGAACACAGCCAAACCGTATCACAGATCAGCATTGAATAATGATCATTTTTAGTAGAAGTATATATTTATATACTTGTACTAAATAACTATATACTCATTCTAAAAATTACTTTTTTGTTAATCTGATGTTCAAATTTAACTGGACAATCTGTACTTTTATTTGCTAAATTTGCCAATCTTTTTTACATGGCCATTGTATAAGGCATTGTTAGTTATTTAATTCACAGAACTTCCTCCTTTTTTCTTCCAATTCTCTGATAAGCCTTGAAAGAGTTAATCATGATCAGGCTAAGTCAATCATAGCGGTCTTGTTTCCTTTGCCATCTATTGGCATAAAGTGAGCATATGGTACAGCCAATAAGAAATAAGGAGAAGCTAATGAGGACCTTTGTAGTTCTTCCTGGTTATAAAGGGGAAAAAGTGAGAATAGTTGTTTCTATCTACTCCAAAGAAACCAGCCACCTGCTCCTTTGTCTTCCTCACATAAATGTACTAGATAGCAACACTAATGACATGACTAACACCAAATATAGGAGAGTAAAGTTTATAAATGCTCTCATCAATGGGGAAGATGGGCTTCATGAGCCAGAGGTTGGTGATGATGAGAAAATAGAAGAAACAGCAAGGTTAAAGGTGAAAATTATTTTTTAATTAAAGAGAGGCTACATTTTGTATCTGTTCACCAAACTGGTTGGATATGAAATCTAATCGGCAGTCATAGGTGTTACCGAAAAGAAAATTTGTTTTCCTAAATTTGTCACAGCATGTCAAAAGGTCACTTAATTACATAACACACTCAGGGTATCTGAGATATTAGGAGAGGAGGGAGGGAACAGAGAGAAGCAAGGGGGAGGACTTTCATAAGCATCAGTTTATCAAAGTGTACTTATATCAAGCAGTTGTCACCTGAACACCACAAACTAATGGGCTCTTCTCATTACAATATTACAAGGAAAAATAACACTGCACTGACTTTTTGCTTCTTGCTTAGTCATTGTTACCTAAGTGTATAATACTGGAGACTATGGTGGTCCTCCTGTAGCAGTGATAGAGGAAGCCTGAATTCTTTCTACGAAAACTGAGTTGACATACAAACCTTGGATTCTGTACTTCTTGACTCCTTGTTACATAAAAAAAAAAAAATTCTTAAAATTTTGTTTTTATTTCTTACAACTAAGTTCATATCCACAAAATCATAAAAATTCTTGATTTCTTAATTTCTCTTATTCCTAAATAAAGAAGCAGCTTTGAAGACACCTATGGAGTTTCTTTTATTTGAAAATATTTGCTTAGTAACTACTATAACAAAACAAACACTTATTTAGACATAAATGTAGTCATCCACAAGAGAAATAAGTCTTTTTTTTTTTTTTTTTTTGCATTAAGGTAGAACCATTAGAGTTAAAGAAGAAGGAGGGATTCTAAAATTTAGCTAGAACACTTAGGTGAAATGGGTAAGATTGGTTAAGGATTAAGTTGAAGATACAGTAAAAAATTGCGGGCATGTAAATTTTATTATGACTTAGACATTCAAGTATAGCAATTATGCAGTAAGTTTTATATACAGTTGGAACATCAGGAGACATTAGAGATAGAAGAAAAATAGATATATAGATAGATATGTAGATAGATAGATAGATAAATAGATAGATAGTCAAAAGTACATAGGGGAAGTTAAATATAGGTGGAATGACCTAGGGAAAGAATGTAGATAGAAAAGAACAACGAAAACCAAAAGGGACTCAGGGATGTTTCCTAAAATAGCCCAGAGTTTAAATTCTATTCAGAACCAGCAACTGTTGAAGAATATAGAGAAGCAATATCCAATGAGGAATACCAGTAATTTTTTCAAAGAGCTCAATTGTATTAAACACTGCTTAGTGGTTGCTTAAAATGAAGACAAAGCAACTTCTATTGATTTTAGCCATGAAAATGCTCTCTGTGACCTTGACAAGAATTCTAAAGCGTATGTTGAAAATTGTATTAGGTAATTTAAAATGTCATTGGTGGGGGAGAAAATCTCAGTATTTTTTCATGTGAAATATGTTCTCGCAGTAACTGAAAGAAGGGAAATGAGGCAGATGACCAAAAGAAGTACATGACCAAACACTCTATGTTTGTGTGCGCCAATAACAGCTGGAGTATAGTTCATAAGTAATTAAGAGAGGATGAGCGCTATAGCAAATATAAAAGAAATGGCCTTTGATAATAACTAATCACACAGAACAATTTTACATGGTAAAATTAGATGAAGGATTCAGGACCACATATAAGTATGACTATTCGGTTGGTGATAGAATATTTAGAGAGGTAATATTGATTGAGATCCAGTTTCAAAATGAGTTTTGAGTCAAGGTTACACACTATAAGTGAAGATTGGAGAAGACATAGGTGGTTTGAGGAGATACTTGAATATACAAAATAATTATGTGAGAGCAAAATAAAACAAATTTAATGGAGAAAAAGTTGGACTACTTGATAGCATTACCCACTTTACGTTTATCTTTTTGCATTTAAAGATGAATCCAGCCAGTTCAATGCATGCTTTTTCCGTAGCAACTTTAGGAGAGTAAATATGTGGGTTCAACATTTGTTGGGATTCTATATAAGTGTGGAAGTAAAAAGCAAAAGAGTAATGATCACTTTGAAAATCTCATATTGTCGGAAGTTTGGAAGTTTTAATCTGGTGAAGGATCTGCTAGAATATTGTTCCTCACATAAATTAACTAGAACAGAAGAAGAGATACTAAAATTTCCGAAGTTACAAGAAAGCAATGCTTTGAAAAAGGCAGAGTTATTGGGCATAACAAGTTCCAGATTGTGAACTTGTATGTAGCTTCTTGCTATAGACACCATTGTTTTTTGCTCATTGAAATTTTATTTTTAGCTTGTAGTCGTTCACCCTTTCATTCAATTATCATCGTTAATTTGAACAGATAATTTGGAAAGACTGTTGAAGCACAAAATGTATTGTCTTGTTAATTTTGTTAACAATTGAATCTACAAGGAGAGTGGATTTTCATAAATAGCTATGACAGTTGCATAGTTGAAATCATGAATTCTTCATTCAGAAAATATTCTCCAAAGTGAAGATATAATACTTGTTCCTTATTTTCATAAGTCTTTGCTTTAAAAAACAACTCTATTCAAACCATTACTAATATGAATAACATCCATCCATCCAGTTTAACTTCCTATAGCTTTTATCAGGGCCATTTAGTAAAATTGAGAAAAGAGAAAATACCTAGACTGTGAAAAATCATAATCTTACACAAACGCTGCAATTTTATAATTTCCAAAATACTCCAAGATAGTATATAAAACTTACTGCATAATCTCCTTGTAGATACAATTGTTAATAAAACTAACAAGACAAAATACATTTTGTATACACAAGACAAATGCTTCTAGAGCCATCTAAATTATACAGCCTGTGTTTCCTTTTTGAAGTCAAAACAGGTTCTATGATCTCTCTTAGTATATCACTATGTCGTGGATGATAAAGCAGTTGATCATTGCTATGGCATGGATCGCCCAAAACGCATGTATCGGGAACTTAATTGCCATTGTAACAGTGTTAAGAGGTGGGTCTGTTAAGATGTGATTAGCTGAGGTGGGCAGGATCACTTGAGGTCAGGAGTTCGAGACCAGCCTGGCCAACCAGGTGAAACCCCATCTCTACTAAAAATACAAAAATTAGCCAGGCGTGGTGGCACACATGTGTAATCCCAGCTACATGAGAGGCTGAGGTGGGAGGATTGCTTGAACCTGGGAGGCAGGGGTTGCAGTGAGCCAAGATCATGCCACTGCACTCCAGTCTGAGCAACAGAATGAGACTCCGACTCAAAAAGAAAACAAGATGGGATTAGTTCATGAGGGTTCTCTCCTCTTCGATGGATTGACACCATTATAGTGGGAGTGTGTTCTTTATGAATGGACAAGTTTGTGCCCCACCACCTCCACTTTCCTGCCATGCGAAAAACAGTATTCCTTCTCTCTGGAGGATCCAACTTGAAAGTGGAGAGGAGACCCTTACCAGACACCAACCCTACCAGTGCCTTGATCTTTGACTTCCCAGCCTTCAAAACTTTGAGAAATAAATTTGTATTTTTTATAAATTACCTAGTCTTAGGCATTCTGTTGTAGCAGCACAAACAGTCTAAGACAATTATATTTGAAAGCTTTCTTAGGTGACATTATACCTTTTCTACCATCAATTCTAACAATAAAAAAAATCCCAAACCTGAACCTCATAGTTATGAGTAGTGGCTTTGCCTAATTTTTTTCTTAGAGTGTTTCTTATTTTAAGTTCTAAGTTCCAACTCTTTATTATACGAGGAGACCCTTACCAGACACCAACACTACCAGTGCCTTGATCTTTGACTTCCCAGCCTTCAAAACTTTGAGAAATAAATTTGTATTTTTTATAAATTACCTAGTCTTAGGCATTCTGTTGTAGCAGCACAAACAGTCTAAGACAATTATATTTGAAAGCTTTCTTAGGCGACATTATACCTTTTCTACCATCAATTCTAACAATAAAAAAAATCCCAAACCTGAACCTCATAGTTATGAGTAGTGGCTTTGCCTAATTTTCTTCTTAGAGTGTTTCTTATTTTAAGTTCTAAGTTCCAACTCTTTATTATACAAGTAACAACATTAGAAAAAATAAAAAAACAAAAATAATTAATAAAAACTCCTAGTTATATGACCTAATAAAATAATCATTAGAAGCACGTTCTTCTAGCTCTTCTTCTATGTATTTGTAACTATATATGTAAATGCATATGATAGTCACCTTATGGCATGTATAATTTTCATCCTGTGATTTACTGAATAATTAACTATGCTATGAATTATTAGTGCAATGGGTTACCCAGTTGAGTGATTTAAAAAATGTCTTAATATCTATTAATTCATTTGTTTTAATAGCCACATGGTGAATTTCTGGAGCTTGTGGACATTTTACAATTTTGGGGATGGTAGATGTCAATTCTTAAGAATGACTTTCTTTTGGAAAAGATAGCAGAATTGACTCTGTCTCATAAGTTTTATAGAGCAAAATATCAAGTCCAACGACTTTTTACAAAGAAAATAGTCATTGTATATCTAAATGCAAAAACTTCAAACTAAGATGGTATTATGCTAAGTCGTGTAAATTAGATTGTTCTCAGCCTACACATGGAAAGAATTAGAATATTTACATCAATTTTTAAAATCAATTCAGATTTTCACTACTTCGCTAGTGTTCATTGTCAACCACAAGTGTCATTCAAATTTGAATTATTCAGAATTTTAGAATACTTAATGATGATTAGGTGGGGCAAAGGTTACCCTCTGAAAAAAACCCATATATGTGGCAGTCATTTCCAGATGGAAATAAGCAGGTCTTAAATTGGGTCTTGCACAGTAGGTTTATCTCTTTTGCACACAGACCATTGCACACACTTTGAACGTTTCCTTTGCTATGTGGGCTTCTTCTAGGACCATAAAATTTTCATATTATGTTTACAAATTGTGAATTACTTGGGAGGCCAAGGCTGGCAGATCACCTGAGGTCAGGAGTTCGAGACCAGCCTGGCCAACATGGTGAAACCCTGTCTTTACTAAAAATACAAAAAATTAGTTGGGTGTAGTGGCACGTGCCTGTAGTCCCAGCTACTTGGGAGGTTGAGGCAGGAGAATCGCTTGAACCCAGGAGGCAGAAGTTGCAGTGAGCTGAGATCGAGCCACTGCACTCCAGCTTGGGCGACCGGGCGATACTCTTGTCTCAAAAAAAAAAAAAAAAAAAAAAAGAGAGAAAAAAGAAAAGAAAAAGAAAAAGAAAAAAAAATTGTGAATTACTTGCTCATGACACGTATTTTGTTTTTAGTACTGAGGCTAGTTAAGTAAAGCTTTGGTAAAGGTTCGCAGTGTTTTGAGGAGTTTAAAGAGAGCTATATGTATATATGATGGGAGAAAGTATATGAAAGCATCCTAAAACATTCTGGGTCCTCTAGGTCAGCAAAGGAGAGAGAAGTAGCAGAGGCAGCAAATGATGACCAACATGACTGTTTCTCAAGCATGTAAGCATAAAACCCAGACTCAATAAAGAAGTTTTACAAAAATCCTAAAAGTATTCTTACACCTTCACAGGATGACTACACCCCTAAGCATCAACCAAATCCATTTTTCATTTTGTATCTCTCTCTCCTGAGATATTTTTCATGGGATTTTTTTTTGTCATAGAAATAAATAGCAAAATATAATTTGCTTTAGAGAAAATTGCAGTATAGACAGCTTTCACAGAACTAATCTACTTATTACTTTGAACAAAACTACTTGGGTTTATACATTCTAAACATCATGATTTTTTAAAATTTAGTCTAAAATTTATAATATTATAAAGCATTATAGCCTTTGATTCTTTGAAATAATAAAATGCTTTCATCAGAACCTTTAAATAATAACATTAGTTACAATTAGTATTTTAGTTCTCCATCAATAATTGCTTAGTTTTTCTCCTTAGCAAATACTCATACAATTATAACTGAATAGTAGTCCAAATATTTTTAAAAAATGAGTTTCCTTCAAATGTCTGGAATCATATCTACATCACCTTTCTTGGCTGTTAAAAAAACACACTTCTCTTTAAGATATATTCAAAATCTCTTCTTCTATGATTCAGCCATTTCTTTAATTTCAACAAGTTTTAATGACATACTTACCAACTCTTCAGCCTAGTATGGGCTAAAACACAAAAGAAATATGAAATGATATATTCTCTTCATAAAAGGTTAGAAACCTTTAAATATGGAGTAAAAATATTACAGAGGATTGTCAGTAATTATTTGCCCGATCGAAATTAGTCATTACAAATGCAAATTTTTAAAATGAGAATCCCCAACTACTTTATTTTTTAAGACCAAGTTATAGTCAGTTCTGTAATATTACCTTTAAAAACTCTTTCCAAAGCAAGGTAAAATAAAATCTATAGTCTTTCCAATTCTTTTTAAGTGGAAGCCATTTCTTTCTTTTTGTCAACATTCACTAAGTGCCTGAAAGATGGGTCCCCTGTCTAAATTCTACCCCAACATTATAGAATGTAATAGTTTCAGTTCCTCTGAAGGTCAGATAAAGCATTTGTTCAACTTCTTCCAAGCCTTTTGGAACTAGCTCACCATAATAAAATTTATTTTTTGATGTTTTGGTGCCAAGAAACATGCAGTGTATTTTTATGAATTCTCTTGCATAATTTGTAGGAAAAAAAATAAGTTATATTCCCCAATTTTAAAGCCAAGCACTTAAAACTATTTGGCTATTTGCCAAATGTCACAACACAAGTTAGAAAAAGAAGCAACATTGGGCTCTAGTACTATCTGATTGCAGAGCATGTACTCTAAAAAATTGTTCTATTCCATACCTTTCCTCAGTCTTTCAGCATCATTAAGCACTAACATCTACACACAGCTTTAAAGTATCACAAATAGGCTTTCTGTTGAGAAACAAATTCCTACAAAATCATGGTGTCCTTGTCATGTGTCTCAGCTGGTAGCAGTCTCATCTTGGTGGCTCTTTTCTCAACTGAGTTTTTTATGAGCTCAGATGCTTGGCTCAGCTTCTGCATATTCCTCAGCATTCCACTAATGCCTTCCAGACACTCAGATTCATGGGTGAAAAGTCTAGTTTACAAATATTCTATCCACACTCCTCAAGAAGTCTGATACACCCATGTCCCAACATAATCTTTTGATGAATGCAGTTAAATAAATACCAAAGAGTAATTTATTTACATCTGGAACAGCAAACGTTTCAGTCACATTCATTTAATCGATTTGTTATTTCATTGAAAATACTCTAGGCTGTGAAACTGTGCAGAGGCTTGCCTAACATTGTCTTGCAAATGCCAAAATTAAAAGCTTAGTGCTCAGGGAGAGAAAAGGATAGTAATAATAACCTCCACACCAGCAAGAAAAACCCTGTTTCTTGGCTGACTTTCTGATTTACATTCCGAATTCCCCACTGTCCATCAGCTAAAATCTCAGTAGCTATATTTTTGCACTGTCGGAGAATAATTTAAAATGTTTTCTGCTTACATGGACACGGGGCTCTCACTCTTATAAGCCTACAATTTACATCTTTTAAGATTTAAATACATGACTGATTGCAGCAGGGGAAATGATGTGAACTTCACAACATTCTGCAAACTGCTCTGAGCCTAGAAAGAGGGGTGAAAGGCTCAATCTTTATTTGATCTTAAGATTTTGCTGTGTCAGTGAAAAATAATGTGGTAGGGGACAGGACACTCAATCTGCTGCTGGCCAGCATATTGATTATATAAGCTGTCATGTGCTATCTGGATAAAGAAATATTTTGCCATCACAGTTGGAGTTGGATATAGCAGATTTGTTGAGAAGCAAATTCAATATATTAGAGGATTTACTCCATTCTTGTTCTTTACAAAATATATCCCCCACCTACAATTATGCAATGTTGTTTCAGCAGAGAGGGTGAGTTTTGAGGAATTTACATCTTAACGTATTCCTGGTTATAACTTTATTTTTCAATTTTTAGTCAAGTCATATACCATTTACAGATACATCTTGGGAAAAAAAAGGTAGAGTTTCATTGCTTAAAGGATGCTTGCGAGCATCATTAACTTATTTTCTAGTAAGATAACAGGGGTATTAAGAAGCACAGCTAGTTAGTGGGAGGGCAGAAACTAGATCTTATTTTTCTCATTTGAGGCCATTCATTGACAACTCAAGGCAGCAGGTAACATTTGAGAACTGAAGAGCTTTTTATGTGTTGTCTTATTCACTATTATCATTTACTCCACTTGAAGTTTAGTAGCTATCCCTGCAAGAGTGAAATATTTCTATTTTTTAAATCAAGCAGTCTGATAGAGACTATTCATCATAAAAAATTCATGAGTAATTTCTGTTTTTTTAATTGCTGTGACTCATTTCCTTATTTTTCAATTGCATTGACACTAATATCTGCCTCACAGGTTTGTTTAAGGGAATATTAGAATGAAGATGTGTAAAGCAGTTGGAACAATACCTGGACATAGGGTAAGTGCTACATATACGTATTTGTTATCGTTAGAGCGTTCTTATTCTAGAAAATAGAGCTTAACCAGTTGAAACATGATTTTATTAATGTAACTTAAAACCAAAAAGTTTCCTGCATGAATCAGATGGCTAGTGTTTCAGTTTGGAAGGAAGCAAAGTGTCCCAAAAATATAAGTAAATGTTTAGACGGTGGCTTATATAACAACAACAAAAAAAATAGCCTCAACTGTGATTCAGTTGAAAGGCTGAGAGAATAATGAAATAGAGAAGCCACTTCTATGATTTTCATTCTTGTTTGTCAATGAGTCTATGCTTCCAGATCCTAAAATTTTATGTAAGATTTCTTTTAATTGTTTGGAGGGGGAGGAAAGGGGCAAGAAAAACATGAAAAACAATCTTCATTAAATTCATTGAATTGCATGTTGCAGATATTTTTATGGAATATTGGCATCCTGAAAGTAATACTTAAATAATTTCCCAGCATGGTATAATCTATGCCTGCACATATTTTGCATAAGTTATTACCTTCTACCAAGGAAGGAAAATGAGAATTGTTTAAAATGGGATATGCTTGATAGTGAATCAAATTTCCCTAGTATGTAAATTACTTCCTGGGAGTGAATAAGGCACATTGGGAGCAATTTAATAAATGATACCCTGGAGGTCTGAATGGATTAATGAAGCTGATTATCCTTTTCCTGCAGAAGGAGAAAACTGTCACTCTGCAGTTAGCCTAAATGAGCTCTCCATAGTGTCACTTGAAGGTATTTTTGCATGGAGAAAGGAGATAAATATAGGTGCCCCATTTAATTCTTCTTGGGGTAGAGCAACTTTACATGATTACTTTCTTTCTCTCTCGGTATGGTGTCATTAGCAAAGAAGGATATAGTCTTCTTGGAGAAAGAGTGAACTGGTTCTGTTAAAATAAAACACATCTACCCTGTTGGTGTGGAGCCTTGTCCAAGGTGAATGTCATAGTCTTTCTCTCCTAAATACGATGCTGATGGCTGCACCTGGCCTCCTCTGTGGTGCTTCACAGGTGTTTTTCTATAAAGCACTTCATGGAGAAGGCTTAGTGCTCTTTACACAGCCACTAACAACAGGTGAGGTGCTTATAAGTCTCAATCAGAAAACAGAGTCTTACCCTTGTATTCAAAACAACTCTATTAGTTATCTACTGTTGTGTGACAAAGTATCACAAATTTAGAGGCTTAAAACAACACAAATGTATGACATCACTCTTTTAGTCAGTTTGGGCTGCTATAACAGGAATCCCATAGACTGGGTGGCTTAAACAATAGGAAATTATTTCTCACAGTTCTGGAGGCTGAAAAGTCAAAAATCAAGGTGCCAGCCAACTCGGGTCCTGCTGAGGGCCCTCCTTCTTGTTTGCAGATTGCTGCCTTCTTGGTATATCCTCACATGGCAGAGAGAGAGAAAGAGGGAGATTGGGTCTCTTCATCTCCTTATAAGGACACCGATTCCATCATGGAGACCCCATCTTCGGGACTTCACCTAAACCTAAGTACCTCCCGAAGGCTCTACCTCCTAATGCTATCTCACTGGGGGTTAGAATTTCAACATACACATTTGGGGGAGACATAAATATGGAGTTCATAGCACTCACACTTTCCTCGGATCAGAAGTCTGGGCACAGGTTTGCTGGCTCCACTGCTCAGGGTCTCACAAGCTGAAATCAAGGTATCAGCGGGAGCCTCAGTATTATCTGAGTCTTAGCTTTCTCTTCCAAGCACATTCAGAATAATTGTTGGCAAAATTATTTTCCTTAAGGATGTAGGACTGAGTTCCTTCCTTGCTTGCTAGTTGTTGGCCAAGGATATCTTTAGTTTCAGAACCAAACGTGTTTCTAGAGACCATCCTCACGTCCTAGCCATGTGGTCCATAGTATCCGGCTCCATCAAAGGAAGGGGTTCCTCATTTTAAGGGCTCGCTGATTAGGTTTAGTCCACTCAGGATACTTCCTTATTTGCATAACTCAAAGTCAATAAATTAATGACTCCAATTACATCTGCAAAATCTCATTTGGTATATAAGGTAACATAATCACAGAAGTGCTTTCTCATTATATTCATAGGACCTGCACACTCTCAAAAGAAGAGGATTAAACAGAACGTGAATCATTGGGAGTTACAGTTGAATCCCGTGTACCATAGAATATACTATTTTTCTCCTCTGAGTTTACACGTGCAGAAGTATATGTGTGCACATACATTCACACACACATATGATATGGAATACATATATTAAAGTTTGGGACTTACAAAACAAAATTTTCCATGCTGCCAATTAAATTCTTTCCTAGGCAGTATGACATTTTTAAAAAAATCAATAGATATATGTACCTGTTCCAAAAAAGAAACAAACT
This sequence comes from Homo sapiens, assembly GCF_000001405.40. NCBI lineage: Eukaryota > Metazoa > Chordata > Mammalia > Primates > Hominidae > Homo > Homo sapiens. Next base: position 117,412 of record NW_021159994.1, read on the forward strand.
GACTTGCATCTAAGAAGAATATAGTAGTATTATCTCAACATTTAAATATTGCAGTGCCAATAATATTTAGTGCTATAATAAAGTGAAAAAAGTATTTATTTACAGCAAAGACAGATTAATTTCTTTTTTTTTTTTTGACAGAGTGTCACTCTGTTGCCCAGGCTGTAGTGCAGTGGGGTGATCTTGGCTCACTGCAACCTCTGCCTCCTGGGCTCAAGTGATTCTCCTGCCTCAGCCTCCCGAGTAGTGGGGATTACAGGCATGCACCACCATGCCCAGCTAATTTTTGTATTTCTAGTAGAGATGGGGTTTCGCCATGTTGGCTAGGCTGGTCTCAAACCCCTGACCTCAGGTGATCCATTCACCTCGGCCTCCCAAACTGCTAGGATTACAGGATTCATTTCAAGGGATTTGCAGAAGAAAGAGTAAAACTTAGACACCAGGTGGTGGAAGACAAACTAAGGAGCCAGGCTGTCAAAGTTGTCAAAAGATTTTAATGGTGATTTAGAGTGGATATTTATAACTTTTCAGATTCTTTATCAAATTAATCATTGTTTATTTAACCAGTATGATTGAGCACTGAAAAGAAATGAGGTGCTATATTTGTTAGTGCCGAATATATACCCAAAACATGTGGTTAAGCAGGCCATTGTGTTAACTCACGTAATACCTACAACAACCCTAAATGGAGAATAATCATAAGAGGATTAGTTATTGGACAAAAAAGAGAGAAAAAAGCTAGAGGCTTCCTTAAAGATCTGGTCCTTGAGATGAAGTCTAAGGCTGTGTGGAAATTATTAAGCTAACGAAGATGAGATAGAGAAATTATATATATAAGACAACCAGGCACTAGAGTGTAGGGCACATTTGGGAACTACAACTTGCTCAATATTACCAGGACATGACTGTAGGTTTAAGAGAGTCCTACAAGAAAATATGACAACTAAATTGCAGAAAGGTGCTCCTTTCCCCTGGGCTGTCCCTGACCAGGATACAGGACTTGGCAAGTAGAGTGCAGGCACAATTTCAGGCCCAGTTTATCCTGACACCAGGATGCTCAGAAGGATCAGTCATAAGTTTATCTAAATTTATCTTCCCAGATCTTCTGATCTGGGTCATAAGAGAGGTAAAGGAATTCAGAAATTAAGCTCAATGGAATCAAATGAGTTAAAAGCTGATTATGCTCTATGATAAGGAGCTATGTGTACCAAGATGCCAAAGTTCATTCTAAAGAGAGGTACACATACTACAAAAATATATCATAAGTATGTGGATGTTAGAATAATACCTATGTTCTGCTTCTCAAATGGGCTCCTGCGATGGATCAACAATTTTGTCAAGAACTTTGAGCCACCTTAACATAGAAGAGTAGATTAGAAGGAGCAGCACCTTGCATGAGGCAATTTTATAGGGCTGATTTCATCTTACAGAGTCTCAGTAAGTCCCAGTTTAAATTTTCTGTGCTTGAGAGGTATAAACATGACCTTGAGAACCATCAAAGAGGCATATGCATAAAGGAAACTTGTAGCCAGAATAAGTGTAGATTTGCCAAACAAATAAAATGGACTATCAAGCCTGTTGATGTCAACATGGATAGATGACCAGAATTAACACTGTGTTATCCTCTCTGTCCCATCCCATGAAGAAAAATAAGTCCCTGGAACTTAGATTCAACCTTCAAGAAAAGACAAGTAGAGGAATTTTAAGTTGGATTTATTATAAAAATTGAGTTTCATGTGGAAACTAAAAAGATAAAATAAAGTAAATAGAACATAAATATTAATGCTATGGAATTGCAATGAATTAACTAAGGCCCTACATATATTGAAAAGTGTAAATAGAAACTGAGCTCTGCTGAACTCATGACTTAATGATTTACTGGATTTAAATAAAATACAAGTTCCTTAGTATTCACACATTATCTTTTAAAAATTTGCTTGTGTCTAATAACACAGTTCATTACTTGAACTCTCTTGCCAGTCCTAAAGTCTTCTGTAACAAATCTTATGTCTGGAAAATCTATAACATTGATGATTTTTGTATACAAATGGGTTAAAATCATATAAAAATATCAATAACACAGAATATATGAAAATCATCAATTATATAGTATATAAAAATCACCTATGATATGGTATATAAGATCATCAATGATATAGTATATAAAAATCATTAATGATATAATTTTTCTAGACATGAGATTTGTGATAGTAGAATTTAGGACAGGCAAGAGAGCTCAAGTGATAAACTTACTAGATACTGGCTAATTATCAAAAGACAGTGTGTGAATACTAAGGAATTGGTATTTTATTTAAATACAGTTATATCTAATAGTTTTAAGCAAAGAATCAGATTTAGATTTTAAAAATATTCTATGGCTGCAGTAAAGATGATGTGCTGGAGGATATTTGGATGGAAGACAAAAAGCCTTTATTAATGGATTCATGTTAATCCTTTGGTTCAGATGATTCAGAATGAAAATCAAAATAAATAATATCTTTTTTTTTCTTTTTTTTTTTTTAATTATACTTTAAGTTTTAGGGTACATGTGCACATTGTGCAGGTTAGTTACATATGTATACATGTGCCATGCTGGTGCGCTGCACCCACTAACTCGTCATCTAGCATTAGGTATGTCTCCCAATGCTATCCCTCCCCCCTCCCCCCCTCCCCACCACAGTCCCCAGATTGTGATATTCCCCTTCCTGTGTCCATGTGATCTCATTGTTCAATTCCCACCTATGAGTGAGAATATGCAGTGTTTGGTTTTTTGTTCTTGCGATAGTTTACTGAGAATGATGGTTTCCAATTTCATCCATGTCCCTACAAAGGACATGAACTCATCATTTTTTATGGCTGCATAGTATTCCATGGTGTATATGTGCCACATTTTCTTAATCCAGTCTATCATTGGTGGACATTTGGGTTGGTTCCAAGTCTTTGCTATTGTGAATAATGCCGCAATAAACATACGTGTGCATGTGTCTTTATAGCAGCATGATTTATAGTCATTTGGGTATATACCCAGTAATGGGATGGCTGGGTCAAATGGTATTTCTAGTTCTAGATCCCTGAGGAATCGCCACACTGACTTCCACAATGGTTGAACTAGTTTACAGTCCCATCAACAGTGTAAAAGTGTTCCACTATGAGATAGCATCTCACACCAGTTAGAATGGCAATCATTAAAAAGTCAGGAAACAACAGGTGCTGGAGAGGATGTGGAGAAATAATATCTTTTTTAACCTTCTTATACATAAATAATTATGGTGACTGAGAGAAAAAGAACAATCAAGAAAGAAGATCCTCAGGTCATATAAGTTAGATTGAAAATAATGTCTTTTGTTCAAATAAGAAAGGTAGGCAGGAACCAGCAGTGGTGATGAAAATGGTGGCTCTGTGTATTTGTGGGCCATACAAATCAGAAAGGTGAATGTTCCTGGAGCTCCAGAGAAATCTAGAGGAAGATAAGAGTTGGCTTATCAGCATAGAGGTGGTAGGTGAGGACAGGGGATTAAATAACACACAAAATATATAAAGGTAAGTAGAAGTTGAATATGGAATTCTAAGTGATTGGGAGATTAAAAAAAAATGACACACAGAAAAGAGTGAACCAGGTCACATAGAAAAACATTGCTTTCTTCAAAGACAAGAAAGGAGACAGTTTGAAGAAGAAAAGGCAAGATCAGCAGTGTAAAATGTCAAAAAGAGTTCAAATATAATAAGGACTAAAATGTGTCTATTAGATTAAGCAAAGAATAAGACAGTGATGACCTTTGTGAAAAATTCAAGAAAATGGTAAGGGCAGAAGTTAAATTGTAAGAACCTGAGAAATGGATATGAGGGAAGACCTCAGTCTTTCAATAATGTTTATCATGAAAAGAAGGAAGGTTGAATGGTAGCTAGAAACGCAGGGTGGTCATAGTGTAGAGCTTGTACTCTTAGTGAGGACAGTATCACCCCCATGGGCAAAATTAGGTTTTGTTTTTTTTTTTTTTGGTAGGTGGGCATGAAAAAAGTCTTACTTTTTAATGAGCAAAGCACTGAGATACGTGTAATATATAAACAGACAATGTATATCTGTGATATTAAAATTTCAGGTGATGAAATTCGGCAAAAATCACTAAAAAGTTTCCTTAAAAGGACAATGTTAATAACTTTTAAATTTTTGAGGGAAACTAATGTAAACTAGCAGTGTTTGCTGAAAAAAAAAGATAGTATTGAAAGATAGAAGATAAAGAAGACTATTTATAATTAATAAAAAAGATAATAAAAAGCAGACAGTCAAAAGGATCCAGATGAAAAGAAAAAGATTAACCTTAGGCCAGGCGCAGTGGCTGACGCCTGTAATCCCAGCACTTTGGGAGGTCGAGGTGGGCGGATCACGAGGTCAGGAGATAGAGGCCATCCTGGCTAACACGGCGAAACCCCGCCTCTACTAAAAATACAAAAAATTAGCCGGGCATGGTGGCGCCTATAATCCCAGCTACTCGGGAGGCTGAGGCAGAAGAATGGCGTGAACCCGGGAGGCAGAGCTTGCAGTGAGCCCAGATCGCGCCACTGCACTCCAGCCTGGGCAACAGAGCGGGACTCCGTCTCAAATAAACAAAACAAAACAAAACAAAAACAGATTAACCTTAGAAAGTGTCAATGATAATATTTTCTTTGAAAGGGGGAAATGGGTAGGAATGGAAAGAAATACACATTTCATAAATCAGAGTGTTCTGTTTATGACTTGTATCACCATGTTCCAAAGAAATGAAGTCATTTGGGAAGAGTAAAAGATTAAGAGATTAGAGAAAACAGATGAAGTTAAGGATTGAGATTATCCTGGGGAGGTGTGCTTCAATCGAAAGAGCCTTTGAAAGGGTTTGGCTCTTCTTGAAGGAAGAGGTTCAAAATGCGAAATCTCTCCTGCTGGCCTTGAAGAAGCGAATAGCCATTTTGCGAACTGTCTATGAGAGGTAGTTATATAGTAAGGACCTCAGAGTGGCTCGCAGGTCAAAGATAAGAAAGGAGACAGTTTCAAGAAGAATAGACAAGATAAGCTCTGATGTTGGAGCTCTGATCGTGTATCTAGGAGCTCAGAGCCGTTCCTGATAGATATTTAGCAAGAAAATGGGAGCTCAGTCATACAACCATAAGGACATAAAATCTTCCAAACATCTGGGATGTGTTTAGAAGCATATTCTTACCTAGTTGAGTCTCCAGATTGAGCAGATTGAGTCTCCATATATACCCTCCAGATGAGGGTATATATAAATACCCTAGTTGAGTCTTCAGATTAGGTACATATATATATACACACATACACACACACACACACACACACACACACACACCCCTCCAGATGAGGGTATAAATAATATATTTAATATTATATTATTAATTTTAGTTAATTAATAAATATAAAATATTATACAATATATAAATATACAACATATAATATTTATATATAAATATACAACATATAATATTTATATATAAATATACAACATATAATATTTATATATAAATATACAACATATAATATTTATATATAAATATATAATATATGACATATAATATTTATATATAAATATATAATATATGACATATAATATTTATATATAAATATATAATATATGACATATAATATATATATAAATATATATAATATATAACATATAATATATATATAAATATATATAATATATAACATATAATATATATATAAATATATATAATATATAACATAATATATATATAAATATATATAATATATAACATATAATATTTATATATAAATATATATAATATATAATGTATAACATTTATATATAAATATATATAATATATATTTAATCAGCCAGACTATGATATCTGTATAGCCGTATTCTGTTTTTCCACAAAATCATTTAGTTACCTAGAGGTGAGAACAAAGTGTTTCATCTAACTTGCAATTATTCTAGGAAAGGTTGGTGGAAGAAAAGAAGGAGAAAGGATGAGATGACAAAAAAGTTTAAAATATTGGCAAGAGAAAGATTTAGGTAATGGGACAAAAAGAGCAATTATTTTCAATTTATGAGAGTATGGTGGTGCAATATTCTCTGTGCCTGGGTGTCTTAATCTACATAATGAATCAATAATAGTAGTGGCCTCACAGGGTTGTAAATCCTTTTTTTTTTTTTTTTTGAGACAGAGTCTCCTTCTATTGCCCAGGTTGGAGTGCAATGGCATGCTCTCAGCTCACTGCAGCCTCAGCCTCCTGGGTTCAAGTGATTCTCCTGCCTCAGCCTCCTGAGTAGTTGAGATTACAGGCATATGCTGCCACACCTAGCTAATTTTATATTTTTAGCAGAGACAAGTTTTCACCATGTTAATCAGGCTGGTCTTGAACTCCTGACCTCAGGCGATCCACCCACCTTGGCCTCCTAAAATGCTGGGATTACAGCCATGAGCCACCACACAGGGCCAAATTCCTTTTTAATCTATATAAACCATACACAACAGTGCCTGCCCTGTGTTGGGTAGTAGTAAAAGAAGAAGTTATAGAGTAACAGCATTATAAATTGGATGATAAAGGAAGATAAGGTCAGTGCTCACATTAGAAAATAAAAATCAAGGGGCTACAAGAAAGCAGAAGGTCAAAGAGCAAAAAATGTGGTAGGAGTTAAAAAAATGAGAGAGATTAAGGAGATAGTAGTCAATGTGTAATGTTGGATTTATAATTGGAAAGAAGAGTACATGTAAGTGAACTTAAAACACACATACAGATGAATACCACATGCACACAAATGTATTCATCAGAAAATGTGTATATCAAGAAAATGTCATACGTCATATACATTTACCAACTAGGTAACCCAATTTTTCATGAAATATTTATGCAAAAGGGATGAATATGGGATAGGTGAGAATATAATGAATATATAGTTAACAGAATTGATAGTTTTCTAAATAATCTCCTAAATAAAAGACATTTCAGCTGTGATAGGGTCTCTGGTAGCATGTTTAGGAATCCTTTTTTAAAATGTATTAATCATATATGCATCGTGGTTGGTGGATTTGTTATGTACTTAACATGGAGAAATATCTAGGTATGTGGCATAAGGAAAGATATAAAATATTTTTATGGCAATATTTACCTACTTATCCTTATAGAGCCCAATAGAGAAAGAAACATACTCTATTATCGTATTTTCAGTGTTTGCTTACAAAGGTGTTTCTCAGTCAAACTCTTGGATTCACTGAAAGAGAATAGTTCACGAGGCACTTTAAAGAAAGTATGCTTATGTAGCTGCATATATAAACCTATGTCATACGAACCAATGGAGAAAGAAACATGTTCTAATAACATATTATTAATTATTGCTTAAAAAGCTGTTTATTTGTCAAACTCATCCATTCATTGAGAGAAAACTGTTTATGATGCCTCTTTTTAAAAAGCATGCTTACATTGGCTTTTTATTGCTTGAATTCTCAACTTGTCCTCATAAAGCCCAATGAAGAAACAAATAAAATTTCTTCTGATAAAATATTCTCAATGTTTTCTTAACGATATATATACAAATATTCTTATTTATTTATCTTTTGTATTATAGTTTAACTTTTTTATTATACTTTAAGTTCATATATACATATGTCATGGTGGTTTGCTGCACCCATCAACCCATCATCTGCATTAGGTATTTCTCCTGATGCTATCCCTCCCCTAGCCCCCGACCCCTTGCCAGGCCCCTATGTGGGATGTTCACCTCCCGTGTCCATGTGTTCTCATTGTTCAACTCCCACTTATGAGTGAGAACATGTGGTGTTTGGTTTTCTGTTCCTGTGTTAGTTTGCTGAGAATGATGGTTTCCAAATTCGTCCATGTCCCTGCAAAAGACATGAACTCATTCTTTTTTATGGCTGCATAGTCTCATTTTCTTTATCCAGTCTAACATTGATGGGCATTTGGGTTGGTTCCAAGTCTTTGCTATTGTGAATAGTGCTGCAATAAACATACGTGTGCATGTGTCTTTATAGTAGAACGATTTGTAATCCTTTGGGTATATACCCAGTAATGGGATTGCTGGGTCAAACGGTATTTCTGATTCTAGATCCTTGTGGAATTGTCACACTGTCTTCCACAATGGTTGAACTAATTTACGCTACCA